>NC_000002.12:25085512-25237028 GCF_000001405.40 Homo sapiens
GGAGTGTGGTGGCACAATCTCAGCTCACTGCATCCTCCACGTCCCCGGCTCAAGTGATTCTCCTGCCTCAGTCTCCCAAGTAGCTGGGACTACAGGCCTGCACCACCACACCTGACTAATTTTTGTATTTTTAGTAGAAACGAGATTTCACCATGTTGGCCAGGCTGGTCTCGAACTCATGACCTCAAGTGATTTGCCTGCCTCAGCCTCCCAAAGTGCTGGGATTACAGGTGTGAGCCACCGCGCCTGACCAAAATGAGGGTGCTAGTGGCTGTTGACTTTTCAGAATATGTTAATTTGTGCTATGAATCTGGGATGGGGGATTTAGTATGCCTGGCTTCATATATTTATTTGTCCTTGGAGCCTTTTTCTGGGAAATGCTTGTTAGCATCACACAGCTAGTGTTTCATGGAACACAGTTTGGGGACTGTGGCTCTGCTCGCCAGAGCATCTGCTCTCCTACCCCATGTACTTTTTCTTTTTAAGACTCTATTTTTTAGAGCATACAGTATGTAGCTTTTTCAGATTGGCTTCTTTCCCTTAGTAATATACATTTAAGTTTCCTCCATGTCTTTTCATGGCTTGATCACTCATTTCTTTTTAGTGCTGGATAATATTCCGTTGTCTGGATGTACCACAGTTTATTCACCCACTGCAGGACATCTTGGTTGCTTCCAAGTTTTGGCAATTCTACATAAAGCTGCGGTAAACATCCACGTGCAGGTTTTTGTGTAGACATAGTTTTCATTTCCTTTGGGTAAATACCAAGGGGTGTGATTGCTGGATTGTATGGTAAGAGTTTATTTAATTTTTTAAGAAGCTGCCAAACTGTCTTCCAAAGTGGCTGTACCAGTTTGCATTCCCACCAGCAATGAATGAGGGTTCTTGCTGCTCCACATCCCTGCCAGCATGCACTGTTAGTGTTCTGGATCTGGGCCATTCTAATAGGTGTGGAGTGGTATCTCATTGTTGTTTTAATTTACATTTCCTGGATGACATATGATGTGGAGCATCTTTTCATAGGCTTATTTGCCACCTGCATATCTCCTTTGCTGCGATGTCTATTAAGGTTTCAGGCCCTTTATTTATTTATTTATTGAGACAGAGTCTTGCTCTGTCTCCCAGGCTGGAGTGCAGTGACATGATCTTGGCTCACTGCAACCTCTGCCTCCTGGGTTCAAGTGATTCTGTTACCTCAGCCTCCCAAGTAGCTGGGATTACAAGCATACGCCACCACACCTGGCTAATTTTTGTATCTTTAGTAGAGGCAGGATTTTGCCATGTTGGCCAGGCTGGTCTTGAACTCCTGACCTCAAGTGATCTGCCCGCCTCAGCCTCCCAAAGTGCTGAGATTACAGGCATGAACCACCCCGTCTGGCCCCATTTTTAATTGGGTTATTTTCTTATTGTTTAGTTTTAAGTGTTTGTATTAGTCCATTCTCATGCTGTGAACGAAGACATACCTGAGACTGCGTAATTTATAAAGGAAAGAGCTTTAATTGACTCACAGTTCAGCATGGCTGGGGAGGCCTCAGGAAACTTACAATTACGGCAGAAGGGGAAGCAAACACGTCCTTCATATGGCGGCGGCGAGGAGAAGTGCAGAGTGAAGCAGGGAAAAGCCCCTCATAAAACTGTCAGATCTCGTGAGAACTCACCCACTGTCACAAGAACAGCATGAGGGTAACTGTCCCCATGATTAAATTACCTCCCCCTAGGTCCCTCCCATGACACGTGGGGATTATGAGAACTACGATTCAAGATGAGATTTGGGTAGGGACACAGCCAAACCATGTCAGTGTTCCTTATATTTTGAAGATTATGTATATATATAAAATCTTCATATATGTATATATATATATATATACACACACACACACATATATTCTTTATTAGCTATGTCTTCTACAAATACTTTCTCCTAGTCTATGACTTTTCATTCTTTTGACGGCGCCTTTTGAAGAGCAGGATTTTTTTTTTTTTTTGAGCTGGAGTCTCGCTCTGTTGCTGAGGCTGTAGTGCAATGGCACAATCTCAGCTCACTGCAGCCTCCGGGTTCAAGTGATTCTCCTGCCTCAGCCTCCCAAGTAGCTGGGACTACAGGCACCCGCCACCATGCCCAGCTAGTTTTTGTATTTTTAGTAGAGATGGGGTTTCACCATGTTGGCCAGGCTGGTCTCGAACTCCTGACCTCGAGTGATCCACCTACATCAGCCTCCCAAAGTGCCAGGATTACAGGCTTGAGCCACCGTGCCCAGCCAAAGAGCAGGAATTTTTAATCTTCATGAATTCCATTTTATCAGTTCTTTCTGTCGTGGATTGTGCCCTTGGTTTTTTATCTAAGAAGTCATCGCCAAAAGCGAAGGTCATCTAGGCTTTTTCCTATGTTATCTTCAAGAAGTTTTATAGCTTTGAGTTTGACATTCAGGTGAATGATTTATTTTGAGTAAGCTTCTGTCCAGGGTGTAAGGGCTGTGTATATGTTCATTTTTTTTTGCATGTGGATGTCCAGCTGATCCACCTGTCAGTTCTTTCACTAGAAGTGCACTGCCTTGATTGCTGAAGCTTCCTCGTGCACTCGTCAGTCCCTTAAGCTTCACCTCCTCTTCCCCTACCGCATGGCAGCCACTCCACTAGTGGCCTTCCAATGGCAAGTCCCATGGATTCTCTCCAGCGTGCCTCTTGTTTGTAGCTCCATTCTGTTGTGTGAGCTCATGTTGTGTCACCTTTGCACTGGGGTTTGTAGAGTTGGTGCTGAGGTTCTGGCTTTGGGAAGGTGGCCAGACAGGAATGCAGGTTGAGGTCAAGGTATTGTTACTTGCAAGTGTACAGAGCTGCCTTGGGGAAGTGGCACGTGTTTCAGACCCACGTGGGAAATCGGATGGAGTCTGTGTTCTGTGATTCTCAACTCTTAGGCCTTTGGATGTCTAAGGGCCTTGGTCGCTGTGGCCAAGCAAGTGGTCAGTGGGATAGCCCTGCTAAGATGTACCAAGCCAGCATTGACCAGCTGGCATGGATGGAAGGGCTCAATGGCACTGGGCCTGGGGGAAAGCAGAAAGGGGCGGGCAGCTTCCAGAACCTTCCTGGGGCCTGACAGTCCTGGCCCTGCTATAAGTGCTTTATAGCCCTGGACTGGCTCTGGTCTTCTACCAGCCATGTGGGATAGCCCTAGCCCTGTTATAGAGATAGGACACCCATGCATAGAGAATGTTGTTACTTGTTCCAAGTCACAGTTTAGGAAGTGGCAGTGCCAGGATTTGACCTGAGAGCCCATGCTGTTGGCCACGCTGCCTCCCTAGCCCCTGCCCTCAGAGGGCTGAAGAGGTTAGGAAGAAAGGAAAGACAAGAAAGAAGTGTTGGGGAGTAAGTCGGGAAGCCCTCACCTTCCCCTGTTATTCTTTAGGCCTTCTTACCTCCTTTCTACTGGTGCAGAAAGGCCCTGGGGCCCTGCCTGGGACTGGTTCCCGCCCACCATGGGCCCTGTGTGGTGGCGGCTCCTGGAGGCCTCTGTGCTGGGGAAGGTGCCTTCCCTGGAGGGCCTGTGGACCAGAGAGGGAAGGATATAGCAAGGGGTGGCCTGAGGAGCTCCCCTTCTGGAATACAAGAGAGCAGGAGGCAGCAGCCTGTCTGGTTTTCATTTGAGAAGAACTGAGTTGGTGTCCCCAGACCAGGACTGTCCCGGCCTGATGTCTCAGGGAACCCTCTCCAGCCAGAGTAGCTGCACTGACAACCCCACAGCCCCCTTGGGGCACTGTGTGGAAGTTTCTACCGTGAGTACCCAGGATGGTATTGAGCTCTCTCCTTGACAAGCCTGGGTTCTAGCAGCTGTGAGCTTGGCCTTTGTCCAGCGCAGGCCTCAGCTCACAGGCCCTTCAGAAAGTTTCAAGGCAGGAACTGACACTACAATTTTTTTAGTCCTAACTTCCCCATGTTTCTATTTCCTCACTCCCTTAAAATGCAAAAGGGCCAATGTTCCTGGTTTAGGGACTATGACTAGGGAGGCTGCTGGGAGAGCGTGGAGCGTGTGCTACCTGGGCACCTTGGAAAGACACATCCTGGCAGCTGCGCCAGGCAGAAGACTGGGCAGCTGCAGGTTTAAACCCTGGGCTTCCAGGCCCAAGAAGGGGGACTGGGCCCCTGGGAGCTGTCCCATCACAAGAAATAACCCTGGATGCCAACCAGAACCCCAACACCTTTTCTCAGGCAGGGGCAGGGAGAGGGTGAGGAGATGCCAGGAACGAGGTCGAGCAAGGAGGCTGAACCTGGAGAGCCTGGGCATGCAGCCCGCCCACTGGTCTGCCTGGTCCCTTCTGTGCTGGGGCGGGTGGAAGCTGAGGGTGGTGGAGGGGATCACAAATAAGTTATCTGCCCCTGGGTGCCCGCCATCCTCTTGGTGCCCCATGGCTACTCCAAGGACATGCCCATCCCCAAACCCAAATCACCCCAGAGCCAAAACTACTGCTCTTTCCTCCTCCAGTGGCACCCACCCCATCCCCCTCCCAATCAAAACTCCCAAAGAACTCTTTTCTCCGCCCTATGTAAACCTCTTTTGTGATTAAAGTAATTCCCAATGAAGGAACTCATTCTTTTCTGAATGACCTGTAGGCTTAATCTTCCCACGGCACATTTGCATTTCAAGTGGTGTGCTTGTACAGATAGAATTCATCTTTAATTGGCAGAATGAAGGGGTGCTTACTGGGCGGGAGGGAGGAGGTGGACTTTCCCAGGCCCCCCGGGCCCCTCCCTGAAGTCCTCCTCTCTCCTCCTCCATGCCCGCCCGCCCCCTCAGTGAGGGGTGAAGCTGGGTGGATTTGGAAGTTGACTGAAGAAGTGCAATGGCTATTATTCCTTTACTAATTAAAACTTTTTATGGTGAGACCTAGAGTTGCCAACTTCTAATTTTGCCAGTTTGTTTTATCAGTGGTTTCCTAACACCATCACTTCACAGAACCAAAACATGAAGGAGGAGGTCACTTCAGTCTTCTCAATGGAGTAAATTTAGCTTTACACAAACATACCACAGGGTTGTTAGATTTTTCATTTTGCTACAGATTGGTGCAAACCTCACTGGGGGCCAGCATTTGAGAACCACAAACCGGATGCCCCTCAAGGCCCTGCCCAACTCTAAAAGGCCGCAGTTTTCAAATTCCACTGTCACACTGCGTTAAAGATGCATCGTCAAATGTGAATCGTTGATGATGATGTTAATTTTATCATAGTTGCACATAACTTTCTATAATGGAAATGGCTCCAGGAGATAGGACGATAGAGGGAGACTGAAGAGCAGGGAATAAAGAAAGTTAGGGGCAAACGAGGTGGCAGATAGGGAATAACACCTGCCCCCGAAACCTGTATCCATCTTCCCAGGATGCTTGGTTAGATTCTTGGGCTGCAGGAGGCAGTTTCATATTCCTGTCCCGGAAACGTGAGTGTGTGTCTGTGTGTGAGTGTGTGTAATAGCACAGTAGGCGGGCGCAGCACCTGACCTTTATGTAAGCTCCCACCCACGAAGCCTCACCCCTCAAAATGCTCCCTGTGGCCTGGCCTTGCATATGGCACTGTGCCCAACCCCCAAGCAAAAGACATGAAGGTGCCAGAATGGCACATGGCAGATGTCTTAGAGTGTGGGGGTAGGGGACAATGAGAGATGCCAGCTCTGGGAGGACAAGGCCCCGAGCCCTCCAAGGGAGGGGTCTGTCTGATTCCAGCCTGTCTGTTTCCTGCCACTCACAGGCTGCCCTGGCCCTGGCTCCAACCTTTCCTGGGCCCGACCAGGAGGCTTTGCTCACAGTTTTTCCCATTCTTATTCCAGGTGTGTGTGGCTGCTGTGGTGCCCTACGCCCCAGGTACAAAAGGCTGGTTGACAACATCTTCCCTGAGGATCCCGAGGTGGGTCATGTCTCTGGCAGGCATCGTGGCTCTCATGGTCCAGGCAGGGCCTCTGACGGGGGCAGCTTGGAAGCCAGGCCTCCTGCCGGGTGGGGAAGGCAGGGCCTCTCAGGGTCCCTGGGCACTGAGCCTTCCCAGAGAAACTGGAACCTGGGCTACAGCCATGGGCAGTGGTGAGAGGCCGCTAGGGACATGAAGGATGAGGGCATTTGGATCTGCAGAAGGCAGCTGGAAGTGCGTCTTGGCATGCTTGTGGCCATCACTGTCCAACCGAGACATCTTTCTCCTGCATGTCTCTCTGTGTGATTGCCTCTGGAGCTGCTAACTCTTTGAGTGATCGTAGCTCCCTGCCGGTCAGTGTGAGGACTCCCCTGTCTTGGGTTGGGCTCAGGAGCCCAGGTCTTTCCCCCTGGCTGCCACTCTCTGGTGTCTGCCAGGTGTCTAGGGGCACACACACAGGGCCTGGCCTCCAAGCCGCCTCTCCACCTGTCAGGCTGCTTTGTGGGTCGTGGGCTGGGAAACATTGGGATCTGATGTACTTGACTTGCTCTCTGGGAACCAATGGCCTGTCTTGATGGGAGCATCCTTTGTAGAGTTCCCTAAGAGCTGCAGAGCTGCCTTCGTCCTGTGTGTGTCTTGGTGCCGGCTATCCAACATGCTTTAATTTGGGGTGGCTTTTTTTTTTTGAGACGGAGTTTCGCTCTGTTGCCAGGCTGGGGTGCAGTGGCGCGATCTCGGCTCACTGCAACCTCTGACTCCCTGGTTTAAGCAATTCTTCTGCCTCAGCCTCCTGAGTAGCTGGGATTACAGGCACGTGCCACCATGCCCAGCTAATTTTTTGTACTTTTAGCAGAGACGGGATTTCACCATGTTGGCCAGGATGGTCTCGATATCCTGACCTTGTGATCCGCCCACCTCAGGCTCCCAAAGTGCTGGGATTACAGGCGTGAGCCACCACACCCGGCCTGGGTGGCTTTTAATGATGCTGTATCATCCATTCCTACACACACACACACACACACTTACACACACACACACACACGGTATATATATACACACCCATACACACATACATGTATACATTCATGTATATATATCCATACACATGCACACACATATATACATTTTATACGTTTGTATCACTTACAATTCTTTTTCTCCCCCCGAGACGGAGTCTCACTCTGTCGCCCAGGCTAGAGTGCAATGGTGCAATCTTGGCTCACTGCAACCTCCGCTCCCCGGGTTCAAGCAATTCTCCTGCCTCAGCCTCCTGAGTAGCTGGGATTACAGGCACTCGCCACCATGCCTGGCTAATTTTTGTATTTTTAGTAAAGACAGGTGTTTCACCATGTTGGCCAGGCCGGTCTCAAACTCGTGATCTGCCCACCTCAGCCTCCCAAAGTGCTGGGATTATAGGCGTGAGCCTATAACTAAAACTATGTTTTAATCATCTGCCTGTCTCTGAAACCCACATGTGCTCCGGCACATCCATAAAGGACACTCTGTAAATGTTGATTCCGTCGAATTATTATTTTTCTCTAGACTTGAACTCGTCTAGCCATAGTGTGGCCATAGTGAGCACAAGCTGTTTTCTCCTACAGGATGGTCTGGTGAAGACCAACATGGAGAAGCTGACCTTCTATGCCCTCTCAGCTCCAGAAAAACTTGATCGTATTGGCGCCTACCTCTCTGAGAGGCTCATCCGTGACGTGGGTCGCCATCGATATGGGTAAGTAGTTTGGAAGAGAGGGAGAGAGATTGTCAGGAACTATATTGTTAGGCTAAACATAGGGTCCTTTTAAGAAAATGATGGCCAGGCAGAGTGGCTCACGCCTGTAATCCCAGCGCTTTGGGAGGTCAAGGTGGGAGGATCACTGAGGCCAAAAGTTCAAGACTAACCTGGGCAATGTAGTGAGATTCCATCTCTACAAAAAATTTAAAAATTAGCCAGGTGTGGTGGTGCACACCTGTAGTGCCAGCTACTTGGGAGGCTGAAGCAGAAGGATCACTTGAGCCCAGAAGGTCGAGGCTGCAGGGAACCATGATTGTGCCACTGCATTCCAACATGGGTGACTCTCAGAGTAAGATTTTGTCTCAAAAAAAGAAAAAAAAAAGAAATAGATTATCAAACAGACCAAGAAAACTGGGGACTGGGGCTAAGGAGTATATCCCATGTGATCTTCCAAAGGCAGGGTCTAGTGTGATGCTGCTGCTGAGGTTTGGGAAGAAAAGGGTGTTGGCTTCCTACAAGCACCTCTTCCAGCATCCATTCTCTCTTGCGTTTCCATACAGAAGCCCTCATACAGTCTGGGGCCTTAAAAAAAATTAAGGTTTGATTGCACCACCATCCTCATCCAACCTGTCCTGCCTTATCCCACTTACTGTCTTGAAAACAAAGGAGGAGTCATCTACATTCTAGTAAGAAGACAGAGTTAAGGGCAATTTGTCCATTAAAAATACACTTAGGTGAAATATTTATCAATCTTCTGAAAGAGAAGGGCTTTCTATGTTTAAAGAGAGAAGAAATCTTAAAGCAAGTGACTGATCAATAGACTTAACTGTTGAAAAATTTAAATATTTTGATGTCAATATAGAAACACTGAGACCAGGCACGGTGGCTCATACCTATAATCCCAGCACTTTAGGAGGCTGAGGTGGGAGGATCACTTGAGCCCAGGAGTTCAAAACCAGCCTGGACAACATACTGCCCATCTCTACAAAAAATAAACAAAAATAAGCTGGGCGTGGTGGTATGCACCTGTAGTCCCAGCTACTCAGAAAGCTGAGGTGGGAGGATGGCTTGAGCCCAAGAGGTCAAGGCTGCAGTGAGCTGTGTTTGCACCACTGCACTCTAGCCTGGGAGACAGATTGAGACTGTCTCAAAAAAAAAAAAAAAAAAAGAAAAAAGAAACACTCAAAGTTTAAGAGACGAACAACAAAAAAGTATATTCGAAAATTAAGACAAAGGATTCAAACTTATATATTAGTAGCTCATACCAAATAGTGGGTGGAGTGGAGAAACTGAGACACTAAGAGGTTTGAGGCAAGAGCCACAAACAAGCGACTTACAGGAGAGGAGAGAGAGCTTGCCACACACGTGGGATGACACTCAACAGACTTGTGATCAAAGGTGCATACTGAAATACTAAGATGCTAACTTATTAAATTCATCACAAAGGAAATATAATTTCCAGTATTAACCAATAGATGGCAAAACGGGAAGCATTTTCATTCTTTTCTAGAAAGAGTACAAATTGGTTGAAACTCTCTAGAAAGTAATTTTGAAATAATGTGTCAAGAGCTTTAAAAACACTTATGCCCTTTCACTCAGTAATTCCATTTCTATTTGTTGATCCCAAAGAATCAAATTTTTTATTATTTACTTATTTATTATTATTATTTTTTTAAGACAAGGTCTTGCTGTGTTACCCAGACTGGAGTGCAGTGGCATGATCTTGGCTCACTGCAGCCTCAGCCTCCTGGGCTCAAGACGTCCTCCCACCTCAGCCTCCCATATAACTGGGACTACAGGCAAGTGCTACCATGCCTGGCTTATTTTTTGTATTTTTTGTAGAAATGGAGTTTCACCATGTTGCCCAGCCTGGTCTGGAACTCCCAGGCTCAAGCAATCCTCCCGCCTCAGCCTGCCAAAGTGTTGGGATTACAGGCATGAGCTACTGCGCCAGGCCCCAAGGAATCAATCTTAAATACAGTCTACCTTCACACACAGAGATGTTCGTTATCTTGTTATTTATAATAATGAAAAAGTAGAAGTAAAATGTCCAGTCAGAGGAGAATATTTCAGTGAATTATGGTGTATGTCATTTGATAAAATGTTATCTAGTCAATAAAAATTGTGTTTATAAAGATACTTTCCATGTAATTTGAAAAATGCTTTAAGTAAATGAAAACCAGAATCCATAATTATGTAGACAGTATTTGCAATCAAGTTAAAAAATCAACAACAACAACAAATCTCAATGGCTGGAAAATACAGTAAAACGAACATACTGGCCAGGTGCGGTGGCTCATGCCTGTAATCCCAGCACTTTGGAAGGCTGAGGCGGGTGGATCACTTGAGGTCAGGAATTCAAGACCAGCCTGGTCAACATGGTGAAACCTCATCTCTATCAAAAATACAAAAATTAGCTGGGTGTGGGGGCATGCACCTATAGTCCCAGCTACTCAGGAGGCTAAGATGGGGTAATCGCTTGAACCCAGGAGGCAGAGGTTGCAGTGAGCTGAGATCACGCCACTGCACTCCAGCCTGGGCAACAGAGCGAGACCCTGTCTCAAAAACAACAACAAAAAAGAATGTACCAATATGTTAGGAGTATTCATTTTATGAACAGTGGGGCTGGGGTTTTTTGGTTTTGTTTTGTTTCGTATCTATTTTTTCTACGTTTTTCCTAAATATTTTTTATGTGGATGTGTTACTTCCACAATAAAAAACATGAACTGCAGAGCACGTTGTGTTTGCTCCCCAACCATCATGCTACAATTCAGAGACCAAATGTCAGGAGAACACTCAGATATTCCTGGTGGCGTTGCTCATGGAGCTGAGGGTTGGGTGGATTCAGGCAGAGGTTCTCAGTCCTGTTGGTTCCATTCCCCACTGAGTCTTTTTTTTTTGAGATGGAGTCTCAGTCTGTCGCCCAGGCTGGAGTGCATTGGTGTGATCTTGGCTCACTGCAACCTCTGCCTCCTGGGTTCAAGCGATTCTCCTGCCTCAGCCTCCTGAATAGCTGGGACTACAGGCACGTGCCACCACACCTGGCTAATTTTTGTGTTTTTAATAGAGACGGTGTTTCACCATGTTGGTTAGGCTGGTCTCGAACTTCTGACCTCGTGATCCACCTGCCTCAGCCTCCCAAAATGCTGGGATTACAGGCGGGAGCCACCGCGCCTGGCCTCCATGGAATCTTTCATAGCCATCCTCTACTTTCATCTCCTCTAGCCTTTCTCCTGGTCCAGGGTCTTCTCTTTTCGTTCAGATGATGGCAGTAGCCTTGGACATAGTCTCCCTGCTCCCTGTCTTTCCTGCTTTGGTCCTTCTGGGTTAATACTGCTATGTATGATCTTTAACACACAGAACCCAAGCTGCGCTTTCCTAGCTCTTTGAGAAAAAATCCAGCATCCTCAGCTTGACTTCTGGGGTCTTCCACAACCTGCCTGTAACCCAGCCAAGCCCACCACCCCCGCCACACCTGCCGTAGACCCACTCCACATGAACTGCTGACCACCTGGCTGGCTCTGTGGGTCTTTCTGGTGTTCTCTCTCACTTTGACCTCTTTGATAGGCCTCCCCCTGCAGCTGCCCATCAGCCCCACTGCCGTCCAAGGCCCCTTCCTCCTGGCAGGAGAAGACGGAGCTGGTCTTGAACTACAGTGAAATGTGCATGGTGCTGATGGGGTGGAGAGGTCTAGAAAGCACAGGCCTCACCAGCAAATCTTAAATCAACCCACCCCTGGTGTAAAAAGCAGGATCCAAACCAATATGTTTCTGTGATCATTTTATATAATAAAATGAGGTTACATCCTGAATAAGAGCAAATCTACTGTGCATGCTGATTATATTAAGGGCCTTGACATATTGTAAATTATACTCAAGCAAGTAAAAATGACTTGATCCTAGGTTGAACCTAAAACTAATATGCTAGCTCCAACATTAAACATTTAATACTAATTTCACTGGCTGTCTCTGCAGTGATGGTTCTCTCAGTAAAAAAATGTCCTAGAGTCAGAAGAGCCACTTAGAATCATTCTGCTGCCCTTACAACTGCAATTAAAATTTAGTACCATTCTGTTAAAAATAGCCATTGTAGCCTCTAAGTATTTAAAACCTGAAGGCCTCACTGAGGGCTTTGTTCCTAAACATTTGGAGAAGAAAAATCTGTTAGATTTGATCTCTTATTCTCTCTTTGCCCTCCCTGTCTTTCCGTACCCAACGCCACATACATCATCATTATCTTCCTCATCACTGATGGCAGCTTTGGAAGAGTAAAATATTCTCATGCAGACAGGGTGAGAGGCTGTGTCTCCCTGCCGTGATGCAGGTGTCTGTATTTGGGGTTTGACCATATGGACATGAACCTTGGATGCTGGACCCAGGGGCAGAACCACCCTCATCTGCCCCACTGCCTCCCCACATTGTCACCCCATTTCAGTTGTGTGTGGACTCTGGCTCATAGGTGTTTAGCATGGGGACGGCGGTGGGCAGCCCAATGTGGGCAGAGAGAGGATGAGATGTGAATTTCAAGGCATCGTTCATGGGCATGCAATATGATGGGCAGTGATGTGCAGAGCAGCAAAAACCGAGCAGTCCTTCTATTTTCCCTTCTCTTTACATTTCCCTTCCAGTTCAACTCCAATGCGAGTAAATCCCCTAGAAACGAAGGGAGAGCAGGGGAGGGAACAGCAGTGCTGGGTAAGACTCGCTCAGTCGACAGTGACCCCTGAGCATTGATGGGTGCAGAATGCCATATAAGACGCCGTCAGGATCCCCAGTACCTGGAGCTCTCACCCAGCCAGGACCAAGCCCTGGCGGATGGAGATGGCCATGCCAGAGGGTTGAGCTTCTCTAATCTGAGGACCCTGGCCCTGGAGCTGACCCAGTGGCCCTCCTAAGAGATACACATTCACCAGAAGGACCCTGAACCTGACTGGAGGATGGCTGACCTTGAGATAGGGATACCGCAGACCCCTACTAGATGAGGAGGGTCATCCCTCCCTTCCTGAGCTGAGGTCAGCCCTCTCTCCCTACTTCTGGACTCCTAAAACCCAGAAGATTCTGTCTAGGAGTGGGCTGACCAAATGCACTCAAACTGCCTGGAACAAGAGGTTCTTTGTCCAGGCCACTGCTCTTGAGCGATTCTTGTGCAAATGACTGGCCCTACTAAAGCTGCCTCCCTCATCCTGCCTGCTGACCCTAATCCCTGACCCTGTATCTGCCTTTCCTCTCCAACTAAGCCTGGTTCCCAGACTTTACTCCCCACTCCTCCTTTCTTAGGCCAGTTCAGATTCTCAGACCTGTTATGACTTTGTACCTCTTCCAGGACACCCGCCCCAGATCAGATCTCTGCTGGTAGTAATCTTCTAACTCGGGGATCCCAGGCTCTATTCCTTTTGAGTGTGTAACAGATTAGACACACTCGAGAAGATTACAATAAAATAGCACAAACATGGAGAGCATTAGACTCGGGGCTTCCAAGGTCCCATTGACTTCGAATTATGTAAGATGCTTTGAAAAGCTCAAGTTCATAATTATAAACATTCCATCCTTACTATTGGGATCAGAGATGAGGAACAAAGGATCATGTGTTCAAAGAACTGGGCCTTATACTTCTTTACTTTTCAGTTTCACTTCTACCATAATTTTCACCTTCTACCAAAATGGAAATTTTCCACTTTCCACTCCTGGTAAGTAGCCAATTTTTTTTTTTTTTTTTTTTTTTTTTCTGTTGCAAAGGATGGTTTTTCCATATCAGGAATTTCTGGCATTTTTTCAGGAAGAGGAAAAGCAGTAATCTAAGCCCTGGGGCTCACGAGGCCTTGAGTTTCTTCTCTTGCCCAACCCCACCCCTTCCTTTACGTCATGTAAACACTGTAATAATGGTGAAATGCTGCAGATCCCTTCATACAGAAGGACGCTGGGATGATTCGTAAGGGAAGAGAATCCCATGCTGCCTGCCCTCATTTCCTACCCGCCATGCTTGGCTGCCTGAAGGTGTCCAGGTCTCTCTGCAGCCAAAGCCTGTCCCCTTTGGAAGGGCTCCAGCCCAGTCTGCTTCCCAAACCCTGCAGAATTCAGTCTCTACACAGTGGACCTGAAACATGCTGGGACTGGGTCTGCAAGGCACAGCAGGTTTCCTGGATGGTGATTGTGATGGTCTCTGAAGGGCGAGGCTGCAGAGCCAGGAATGGCTGTCCTGGGAGCAAGGAGGAATGGTAGGCATGGCTCCCATTCACCAGAGGAGCTCAAAGAGCCAAGGCTGCCTTTGTATTTGAAAGACATTCTGTGGATAGAGCACACCTTGATCCATATGTGGGTGGGCCCAGAGACAACTATTTGATAATACTTTTATTTAATATCATTAAAGAATCATTTAATAAAAGTTGACGCGGCTATTCTAGATAAAAGAAATAAACATTTTATAAAAGTGGAAAAGAAAATTTCAGCATTTAAAGGCTGTTTAATTTTCTGGTTGCTTGGTATAGAAGTTAGCTCAAAGGTAAGTAAGAAATAGCTGATGTCTTAAAAAAAATTTAGAAGTCATGACTGCTGTTAATTTTTTTTATGTTTGGATTTGCAAAGCTAGCTCATGTCTGAGGCAGTCTGACTGTGCAATATCTGAAACTGGGTAGCTGTCCCAGGAGGTATCATGGAGCCTTGAGTTGTAGCCTTGAAAGAGCTCCTGAAATTGTCCTATAGTCATCCTCCCTGTGCTTTCTGTTCACCCAAACTTTGTTTAAAAAAAAAAAAAAAAAGATGAAGACTAGCTAATAAAGAATTTTTAAATAGGCTGGGTGCAGTGGCTCACACCTGTAACCCGAGCAATTTGGGAGGCCGAGGTGGGTGGGTCACCTGAGGTCAGGAGTTCAAGACCAACCTGGTCAACATGGTGAAACCCCATCTCTACAAAAAATACAAAAAATTAGCCAGGCATGGTGGTGGGCGCCTGTAATCCCAGCTACCTAGGAGGCTAAGGCAGGAGAATCGCTTGAACCTGGGAGGCAGAGGTTGTAGTGAGCCGAGATTGCGCCATTGCACTCCAGCCTAAGCAACAAGAGCAAAACTCCGTCTCAAAAAAAAAATTTTTTTTTAAATATCTGCCTAACATTCAATGATGGATATGATTTAGGTCAAGACATAAAGAAGAACGAATCTTTTAATTCATCCTTTATTACATTTACGGCATGTGAACCTGACTTTAGAGTTTTAGGCACCTTTAACATTTTAAAATCCCGTGGTGGCAGCTTTGCTGCGATCTTGTAAGAGAGGCCTTTTGCTACTTTATTTTGACTTAGGGAACATTGACCTGATTCCTGGGCACCCCATTAGGCTTTACAGTTTTCTGCTTACTTTACCTCCCCTGTATTTTCTTTTTTTTGAGACGGAGTCTCACTCTTTTGCCCAGGCCGGAGTGCAGTGGCGCTATCTCGGCTCACTGCAAGCTCTGCCTCCTGAGTTCACACCATTCTCCTGCCTCAGCCTCCTGAGTAGCTGGAACTACAGGCACCTGCCACCGCGCCTGGCTAATTTTTGGTATTTTTAGTAGAGACGGTGTTTCACTGTGTTAGCCATGATGGTCTCAATCTCCTGACCTCGTGATCTGCCCGCCTCGGCCTCCCAAAGTGCTGGGATTACAGGCGTGAGCCACAGCGCCCGGCCTCCCCTGTATTTTCTTTGTGTCAGGAGGTACTTTTCTATTCCACATGATTTGACATTACAAGTAGAAGGATCACCATCCTGCAATGGGCACATGAGTCCAAACTCTGAGTCCATGAAGCCTTGCAATGGTCTCCCATCTAGCAGGATAGGAAACATTTCTAGCTCTAACTTCCCTTTCCAATGAGGTCAGTCACTTGGTTTGCTTTGGATTGCTCAGAATTCACCTTTATTTGTGCCATCAGGTTTCTAAAGCACTCCCAAATCTGATTATTAGGTGCTTGTGCTATTTAGAGTATAAAGAAACTCAAAAGACAGTGGCTCCAGCAATATGGAAGTGCTTTTCCTCTCTTTCACATCAGTCTGGAGTGGGCCAGTGGGCTCTGCTCCATGAGGTCATTCAGGGATCTTCAGCACATGGCTTTCCTCTCTGGGTCTCCAGTTGTTTCCACTTCCCAGCTGGTAGGAAGAGGGAAAGAGAAAGGACACAGAGGGCAGTCATGTCTTATAATCAACAGATGCTGATGTTGTTCACATCACTTTCTCTTAATTAATTAATTTATATGTTTGTTTATTTTTGAGACAAGATCTCACCCTGTCCCCCAGGCTGGAGTACAGTGGCTCAATCATGGCTCACTGCAGCCTCGACCTCTCAGGCTCAAGCGATCCTCCCACTTCAGCCTTTGAGTAGCTGGGATTACAGGCATACACCACCATGCCTGGCTAATTTTTGCATTTATCATAAAGAAGGGGTCTCGCCATGTTGCCCAGGCTGTCTTGAACTCCTGGCTCAAGCAATCTGCCCACCTCAGCTTCCCAAACTGTTGGGATTCCAGGTGTGAGCCACCATGCCCTGGCCACTTCCCCTCATTTTAATGGCAATGTTTTAGTCATGTGGTCTCACCTCACAGCAAGAGAGACTGGGAAATGGAGTCCCAAATGAGCAGCCACATGCACAGCTAAAATTCTGAATTTCTAGGGAAAGGCAAAGGGACATATTTTAGGGGAGACATCTAGCATTCTGCCCGGGAAACTTAACTCCGAAACTGTAAAGATTTTAACCAGAATAATTTCTGAAAGGTTTGCAGCAGCTTCCTTGTTAGAAGTTCAAAACAAAACAAAACAAAAACAAAAAACAAAACCTCTCTTTCTTTAGAATGTAAATGCTTTGTAAGTGAAGGATGTATGTTTTATGATGTAGACATTACTAGTTATGTCATACTCTTGGAACAAATTTGGAGTTTGAGCTTAGAGGTGCCTTTCTCCTTCTCATTAGGAATTTGATTCTTGGCATTTTTCTTGGGATTTATGAGAAGCATTGAAGAAGACAACTAAGATAATTGGGTTGTCCTGTAAAGGCTAGTTTGGGAGAGCTTGGGTATATTTAGCACAGAGGAGAGAACAGCAAGAATAACAAATGAGATTGTTATCTTCAGGGGTTGAGGAGCTGGAGGTAGGAGATGGCATGGCCCTCTTTTTTGCTTCTCCTGAGAGTAGAATTGTGAATAGAGGATAGAGGTTATTAGGCTTCAGGTTGACATTTTATTTCATTATATTAGTCCATTCTCATGCTGCTATGAAGAAATACCCAAGACTGGGTAATTTATAAAGAAAAGAGGTTTAATTGACTCACACAGTTCTGCAGGGCTGGGGAGACCTCAGGAAACTTACAATCATAGCGAAAGTCACCTCTTCACATGGCACCAGGGGAGAGAATGAGAGCTGAGCGAAGGGGGAAGCCCCTTATAAAACCATCAGATCTCATGAGAACACACTATCACAAGAACAGTATGGGGAAAACCGCCCCCATGATTCAATTCTCTCCACCTGGTGCCCCCCTTGACACGTGGGGATTATTACAATTCAAGGTGAGATTCGGGTGGGGACGCGGAGCCAAACCATACTAGTTGTCAGTCATCTAGTGAGAGGACTTGGCTCATTGCTATTGGATGTTGTGTATTCCTAGTTTCCGAAGTTGTTCACTCAGGCTTTAGACTTCAGAGGAATTGTTTAAGTAATTTAAAGACTTAGTTAACATAGGGAACATTCCTCATAAGGAGGAAAAAAAAAATTATTCTGTGTCCATCTTGTCTGTCTTATTCCCTAAGTAAGAAGTATCATCCAAACATAGTAATGCTGCCAACCATATTGCTTGCATAGTACTTTATCATGGAACTTCTGAGGCTTTCAAACACAATACCTGCAAATTTTCTATTCCTTAAAGCTGGTCCTCAGGCCTGTCTCAGATTCTTCATAAAGATCTTGACTTCCTCCCCACTCGAGCCATCTCTCTCCATCCTTGGAAACCTCATGGGCCATCATGCATGATTTTCTTGTAGGATTTATTTTCTCTTTAAAGGAATATCTATGTATTTATCTCAGCTCATTAAGTTGAATGACTGCCTTCTTCATCCTTACACCCCCTGCACTGTCTAGGACAGAGCCTTTCCACAGTGGGCACTCGATAAATACTTCTTGACTTGGATTGGATAATTCCCCGACCTCATAGAGTTTAGACTTAGAGTTTGCTATTGTGAGCATCAATCTTGCTCTTTGTGTTGACTCATGAAATGCTCTATCTCATCCGTCGTCCTGTTCTTAATCTGTAAAAGGAGGGGCTGGATGAGTTGGTCTCTAGGCTTCCTTCCAGCCCTAATTCATTCTGACTCAGTTCTGGGCTGGAGCAGACACTTGTTGGAAAGGCTATCCAGACGTTGGCAGCCTGTGGGGGAGCCTCATTACCCGGATGCTGCATTGCCCAGGTCACCACACTGACACCTTGCATGCCCTGGTTGGGCCATGGGGTGGCAGGGGCGCGGCCAGTGACGGCATGTGCTGCCCTCCCCAGGTACGTGTGCATTGCTATGGAGGCTTTGGACCAGCTGCTCATGGCCTGCCACTGCCAGAGCATCAACCTCTTCGTGGAGAGCTTCCTCAAGATGGTGGCCAAGCTGCTGGAGTCAGAGAAACCCAACCTGCAGATCCTCGGCACCAACTCGGTAAGGAGCGGCCCAGGGGGCTCCAGGTCTCCCAGCCGCATCCTGGGGGGTGGCAGGGGAGAGGGAGACCTCGGGGTCGGCACTGTCATGTTCTGTTCCTTCTTGGTTCCCAACCCTAAGTGTGACACACTGCTTGTTTTAGGGTCTCCCTTTGTGTGAACAAAGGGCCCTTTCATTTTTTAATTTAAACAAATATATAATTTATATAGATATATAATAAAATAATTTTTAAAAATAAAATTCACCACTTTCAAGCATCCCATTTTAAACCCCGTGGTGGCCAGGCACAGTGGCTCACACTTGTAATACCAGCACTTTGGGAGACCAAGGCAGGTGGATCACTTGAGGTAAGGAGTTTGAGACCAGCCTGGCCAACATGGCAAAACCCCATCTCTACTAAAAATACAAAAAAAAACAAAAACAAAAATTAGCCGGATGTCATGGCACACACCTGTAATCCGATCCCAGCTACTTGGGAGGCTGAGGCAGGAAAATCACTTGAACCCAGGAAGCAGAGGTTGCGGTGAGTCGAGATCATGCCACTGCACTCCAACCTGGGTGACAGAGACTCCATCTCAAAAAACAAACAAACAACAACAAAAAATGTGGTTTCAGTGTATTCACAAAGTTGTGCAACCATTAACACCATCTAATGTGTTTAGCGTTAGATTGATGATCTCCAAACTGTTTTTACTAATAGAATTTTTCCCCTCAAATAATTTTAAGTGGGGCCCCCAATAGATATAAAAATCGATGGAAACAGAGGCTTTCTTTTGAGGGCAGGAAGAACCCAGGGCTCTCACCACTCAGCACGCTATGGGGGCATATCTTGAAAGCTGTCCAGGTTATGCCCCTTTCAAAGATAGAGTAAAGTGATGTCCCCAGGACAAAGGTACCAGATCAGTGGAAAGACCACGGGGAAGCAGGACACGGGGCTTCTGGCTCAGTTCTGCCCTTCCCTCGCTGTGAAGCGTTGAGCAGGTTACCTTTTATGGGCCTCAGTCTTTTCATCAGTACCATGAGCAGGTTCAGCTTGGTCTCTGTTAGTCCTCCAAGCTAATGCTGGTCTCAGTGCAAATGGCTGCGGTCGTGGGAGAGTATGATTTTGTTAGAGAAGAGCTATCAGATATGTCAGAAACTCCCTGCTTCTTGTGTGCATTTAAACATACTCCCACGCCCTGGTTGTCTTTAATATCTTGCTGTCTCTCCCATTCCTTCCCCTTTTGGACATACTTTAAGCTCCAGGTCTTCATGCAGCTTAGATACAACTATTTTACAGATCTTAAGTGAAGCTTTTATCTATCTGCAGGTATCACAAAAGTTTAAGGTTTGCCCCTTAGCCTTCCAACCTGAATTTTTATTATTTTATTTTATTATTTTTTTTAGACTGAGCCTCGCTCTGTCACCTAGGCTGGAGTGCAGTGGCACAATCTCGGCTCACTGCAACCTCCGCCTCCTGGGTTCAAGTAATTCTCTTGCTTCAGCCTCCCAAGTAGCTGGGATTATAGGCATACACCACCACACCTGGCTAATATTTGTTTTTAGAAGAGACGGGGTTTCACCATGTTGTCCAGGCTGGTCTTAAACTCCTGGGCTCAAGTGATTCACCCGCCTCAGCCTCCCAAAGTGCTGGAATTACAGGCGTGAGCCACCACGCCCAGCCCTCAATCTGAATTTTTATGGCATGGGTCAGAGCTGCTTTCCTGTTCTACATAAGTTGATTTAACCAGAAGAGAGTCTTCCAACTTTCCTTCCAAGGACCAAGAGTAGCAACCTATACAGATTCCCTTCTCTTTCCTCTCCCTGGGAGCCAGCTGCCTTTGACACATTACACATATACTAACTGAGGGGAAAGTCCTTTGTCAAGTTGCTCTGGCAACAGCTTCAGATACTGTTTTAGTTGTCCTGTTTAAGAGAACTACAGCCTAGAAGAGAACATCTGAATGGAAAATGAACCAGCCACCATGCATCCCTGGGGGCCACTGGAAGCAGGTGGCCACCACCTCTAGCTTCCCCCACAGGAAATCCTAGCCCAGGGTAGGTGTTCTGTCAGCTACAGCATGAAAAATTCAGTGTCCTGCAGATTCCCCATCGCAGTGAATCATCGCATCAGCCAGAGAGCAAGCTGACTAATGATTGCTATGCTGCAGACAATGAAGATGATATAAGGACAAGCTATTGTCAGTGAGTTAAGTCAAATATTTGCAGTAGCTCCAGAGTGCAGCTTGGAAGGCAGCCTTTTCTCTTGCTGTCCCTGTCTGATGCTCTTTCCAGCTCTCTGTGCCCAGACCTTCTTGAGCCTTCCTGAGAAGAGTGTCCTTTTGCTCCTCATCGTTTTAGACCTGCTAGCATGCTAGTGCATGACATTATCTTAGAGTCTAGCCCGGGAGTTCCAAACAGGTCTTCACAGGGATTCAGGGCTTTGTGAGGGGAAAGGGGGCCTAGGAGAGGAGGAATAGAAGTCTCTAGGCCCTTTACTGCTACTTCATCCAGTAGCCACCTCTGGAGTTTTTTTTTTTTGAGGCAGAGCCTCGCTGTGTCACCCCGGATGGAGTGCACTGGCATGATCTCGGCTCACTGCAACCTCCGCCTCCGAGGTTCAAGTGATTCTTCTACTTCAGCCTCTCCAGTAGCTAGGATTAGAGGTGTGTGCCACCATGCCCAGCTAATTTTTTTTTTTTTTTTTTTGAGATGGAGTCTCACTCTGTTGCCCAGGCTGGAATGCAGTGGCACAATCTTGGCTCACTGCAACCTCCACCTCCCAGGTTCAAGTGATTCTCCTGCCAAAGCCTCCCGAGTAACTGGGATTATAGGCGCCTGCCACCACACCCAACTAAGGGAGACAGGGTTTCACCATGTTGGTCAGGCTGGTCTCGAACTCCTGATGTCAAGTGATCCGCCTGCCTCGGCCTCCCAAAGTGCTGGGATTACAGGCATGAGCTACAGTGTCTGGCCCTGTTAATTTTTTGTATTTTTGGTAGAGACAGGGTTTCACTGTGTTGGCCAGGCTGGTCTCGAACTCCTGACCTCAAGTGATCCACCTGCCTTGGCCTCCCAAAGTGCTGAGATTACAGGTGTGAGCTACCACGCCCGGTCCTTTCCATTGTTTGTATGGAAGTTTGCAGCATTTTATTTGGATAAAAGGTTTTGCTGCCAGGAAATCAAAAGAAAGGGAAGGAGAAAAAGGAAGAGAAAGCAAAATGAATCAAGCTCATTGTAACCCCTCATTTTGTTGGATTTCTCAGTGTAGAGATGGGACGCCAAGAAGCGAGATGATTTGTCTGTGCTCACACAGCTAGAGCGCTGGCTTTAGACAGTGATTCTTTCGGCCCCTGTGCATCTATTAATATTCTCCCTAGAATCTGGGGGGTGGCAAGGTCAGAAGCCCCTCATTGGGCCCTTGATTCCAAAGTGTGGCACCCAGCCTCTGTGCAGATAGCCCCCAAGACCAGACTTAGTCTATCACAAGGCAACCCCCGGCCTTGTGGGTGAGAAGTCAAGAAAAAGCCTCACCCTGAGCCCACTCTGCCTCCCTGTAGCTTTTCCCTCAGACCTGGTTTTGCTCCCTGAATTGGCATAGCACAAATCTCCCCTCTGCAGAACGTCTCTTCAGAAACCATACCCCCTTCAAGGTCCCCAACTCAGACCAATGAGCTTTGGAAACCTACCAATTCCCAGGGCTCAACCAGACAACCAGGCCCGCATCTCTGGAGAGGAGACCTGGGAGTCTCTATATTTTTGCTTCCCATGTGATGCCATTTAGGTCTGGGAACTACTGACCCGTTCTAGTCTTAAGCCTGTGTAGGATTCCTTCCCTCCTTTCCTTCTTTTATTCTTTCTTTCTTCTCTCCCTCTCCATATCCCTCCCTTGCTTCCCTCATTCCATATAGATATTCATACAGCTTGTGCTTGATTACCCCAAGGATGAAGTTGTCCAGAGACTTGTCACAAAATCCAAATTAGCTAATACCACTCCTGTACAGTACATGCAGTAAAGTACAACTTTAAAAATTTAAGTGAGCTTTTTTTTTTTTTTACTTCTTGTTCTTCATTTTTTATTTTATTTTTATTTTTGAGATGGGGTCTCCCTCTGTTGCCCAGTCTGGAGTGCAGTGGTGCCATCTTGGCTCGCTGCAACCTCCGCCTCCCAGGTTCAAGGCCTCAGCCTCCCGAATAGCTGGGATTACAGGCGTGCACCACCATGCCTGGCTAGTTTTTGTATTTTTAGTAGGGATGGGGTTTCACCATGTTGGCCAGGCTCTTCTCAAACTCTTGACCTCAAGTGATCCACCTGCCTCGCCCTCCCAAAGTGCTGGGATTACAGGTGTGAGCCACCGTGCCCAGTGAAAATTTAAGTGATGCTTTCCAGCCCTTAATGAGAATACCTGGGCTTTGGATCATGATGAGGGACTGGAAACACCAGGAGAAGGTGGGGGAGTCAGGGCCAGCTAAGCTCCTTACTCACTGGGGATTCACTTCTGCACACCTGCCTCATTGCATGATGGGTCCAGATGCATGTCTTGGGTCCAGATGCATGTCTTGAGGACAGTGTCAATCACCACATGTCCTGATTTTTTAAGGGCACTTACTAATGATAAACTAAAAATATTAAATCTGATGATGCCAAGATCCTCTACATAAACAATCTAATATATTAGCCTAGTGTATACAAACGGTAAAATATTATGAAGATTCATAGATTGAAAGTTTATACTTTCACTTCTATTTCACACCACACACAAAAATTAACTCAAAATAGATCAAAGCCCTAAATGTAAGAGCTAAAACTATAAGACTCTTAGAAGAAACTATAGGGATAAGTCTTTATGATCTTGGACTTGGCAATGGATTCTTAGATATGATATCAAAAGCAAAAGCAATTATAGAAACAACATAGATAAATTGGACTTCGTCAAAATTTAAAACTTTGTCTGGGCACAGTGGCTTATTCTTATAATCCCAGCACTTTGGGAGGCCGAGGTGGGTGGATCGCTTGAGGTCAGGAGTTCCAGACCAGCCTGGCCAACATTATGAAACCCCATCTCTACTAAAAATACAAAATTCAGCCGGGGTGTGGTGGTGCTACTTGGGAGCTGTAATCCCAGCTACTTGGGAGGCTGAGGTGGGAGAATTGCTTGAACCCAGGAGGCGAAGGTTGCAGTGAGCCGAGATCGCTCCACTGCACTCCAGCCTGGATGACAAAGTAAGACTGTCTCAAAAAAAATAAAAAATAAAATTAAATTAAAATTAAAACTTGTATGCACCAAAGGACACAATCAGACAGTAAAAAGATAACCCACAGAAAGGGAGAAAATATTTACCAATCATATATCTAATAAGGGTTCAATAACCAGAATATACAAATAATTCTTAAGACTTAACAACAAAAAAAAAAACCTAATTAAAAACGGGCAAAGAACTCTCATAGATATTTTCACAAAAAAGATATACAAATGGCAAGAAGCACATGAAAAGATCCTTAACATCGCTAATCATTAAGGAAATACAAATCAAAACCACAACAAGACACCACTTCACACCCCCTAAGATGGCAATTAAAAACACAGTCCCACACACAAAAGATGGCAAATGTTTGCAAGGATGTGTGGAAACCGGAACCATCATACTTGCTGGTGGAAATGTAAAATGGTGCAGCGCCTTTGGAAAATAGTTTGGTGCTTCCTCAAAAAGTTCAACATATGGAATTATATGGCCCAGCAATTCTGCCGGGTATATACCCAAAATAATTAACAACAGGTTCTCAAACAAATAGTTGTACACAATTGTTCATAGCAACACTATTCACAAGAGCTGAAAGGTAGAAACAACCAAAAAGGTCACCTATTTATCGTCCCATGTATATGAGATATTCAGTTAGGTAAATCTGTAGAGACAGGAAGTAGATTTGTGTTTGCCAGGTGAAGGGGGAGAGAGGAATGGGGAGGGACTGCTGAGTGGGTATAGGGTTTCCTTTTGGGGTGAGGAAAATGTTTTGGTTGCAAAACATTGTGAATGGATTAAATGCCGCTGAATTGGGCACTTTAAAATGGCTAATTTTATGTTATGTGAATTTTACTTCAATTTTTTAAAAAGTTGTACTCTGAGTAACCCAGAGTCAATGGCACACAGGCATTTTTGCTTTTACTGTGCCACAACCTCAAACCAAGCCCACTCGGAGGCTGGTGCAAAGCGAGTCACCCAGCAGGTTGGGGGGAGGGCGGCTCCCCTGTGGCAGGCCAGGGTCATGGGGATCCTGGAGACGTCCCTCCTTGTGACTCAGGCTGTGCAGCACCCTGTTCCCCCCCATCTTGCTTCCTTGCTCCCCTGCCCCTCACGAGATCTCACCTCCCTGGGTCTCCTCGTTTCGTTCCAAGCTCCAGCTCTTGCTGAGACTCCCTTCCTCTGCCACCCTCCGGGGCCCTCGGGACACCCTCTGTCCACCTGCCTTACCCTCCCAGGGCCTGCACAGCCACCCGGCCTTCTCTACCCTAATGCCCCCACCTCAGAAAACCACACAGCCTGTGGGTTGGGGCCTCTACACATATGTGCGTTAGGAGTTTACCTGGGCTTTCAGGCAGCCTCCTCTCACGTCCTCCAAGTGATCCTTACAAACCTTCCATTTTCCCCTAAACTCCCCTCCCAAATCAGCTTCTTCAGTCTCAAGATGCCTTTGCCTTCTTCTCCCACTCAGGAAATGGGGGCTGTCCCAGGGGGCTTCTTCCACTTCCTGTGCCCATCTTCTTCCTCTCCAAAGGGTTCCCAGCCCCTCCGGAGCCTCCCTGCATCCATTCTTTCTGCCCCTTCCCCATCTCCACCCTTTGCCTTGCTTTGATTCCTTCCCTCAATCTAAACACAAGTTCAAGTCTCTTGCAGTGTAGAAATAAATTAAATTAATAAACAAGAGAAAAACAAAAAAATTACGTTCTCCTGCATAACTACGAAATGCCATTAGCTTGCCTGACAGAATCAACAGTCATTCCCTGATCTTATTTTAATATGTCGTCTAAATCCAGATTTCCCTAATTTTCCCCCGTTGTCTGCATTGCTATCCTTTTTCAAATCAGAACTTAGTAAAGACTATTTATTTGTTTTCTACATCCCTTAACTCTCTTAGCAGCTTCGCAACCTCTCTCTGCCCCTCTTTTATTCATGACATTGACTTTTTGAAGAGGGCAGGTCAGTTGCTTTGTAGAATGCCCTCCATTCTGGATTTGTCTGGTTCTTTGCTGCGGTGTCACTTATCTGACTCTCCTGTCTCTTGTATTTCCTGCAAACTGGAATTAGATCTGAAAGTTTGATTGGATGCAGGTAACTACTTTCGGCTATAATACTTCATGGGGGTTTTGGGTTGCTATACCGGGTATCACAGCAGGAGGCACAAATGTCTGTGTCCCACCTTTACAGATGCCAAGTGTGATCCCGGCCTAGGGTGTGGCCAGCCACCCCTCTCCATTGTAAAATTACATTTTTCTCTTTGCAGTTAGAATCTGTGGAAACCATGAAAATAACCCACTCCCCACCCACCTTGCCCCTCATGTTTTTATCTTTTGGTGGCATTTCTCCCTGGGATCACGCCCATTTCTCCCTGGGATCGTGCCCATTTCTCCCTGGGATCACGCCCATTTCTCCCTGGGATCCCACCCTTGTTCACACTCCCTTCACTTCCTCAGGCCTGTCACTCCACCTCTTCCCACCGGATGTGCCCTGCTTAGTTTCTGTGGTAGGCTGAATGATGCCCCCATCCCACGGTTGCCTATGTCCTAATCCCTGGAACCTGTGAATGCCACCTTATATGACAAAAGGGACTTTGCAGATGTGATCAAGTTAAGAATCTCGAGCTGGGGGAGATTATCCTGGATAATCCAGGTGGGCCTGATATAATCTCAAGGGTCATTATAAGAGGGACGCAGGAGGATCAGAGTCGGACAGAAGGGGACGTGATGATGGAAGCAGAGGGACAGAGACAAAGAGATCTGAAGATGCCCTGCTGCTGGCTTTGAAGATAGAGAAGGGGGCACAAGCCAAAGGATGGAGGTGGCTTCTGGAAGCTGGAAAGCCTGAGGAAATGAATGCTCCCCAGAACCCCCAGAAGGAATGCAGCCATGCAGAACTATTGCAGACTTCTGAGCTCCAGAACTCAGATAATAAGCGTGTGCTGTTTTAAGCCACTAAATTGTGGTAACTTGTTACAGCAGCCACAGGAAGCCAAGACAGTGTCCTTCAAATAATTCTCTTTTTCCTCATCCCCCTGAGTGTCTGTGGTCTCCTAGGCTCTGTGCTCTACCCTCTTCTCACTGGATATGCTGCCCCTGGACAATTTCATCAACTCTTGTGGTTTTAACTGTCACCTGTCGACTAGATATGCCCCAATTTTCAGCACTTTGGTTCAAAAATCAGCACTGCTAGAGACCAAGGCCAGTGGAACGGCCCAAGGCATGGGGCTCAGCCCCAGGTAGGGACAGGCTCTGAGAGCAGAGGCAGCCAGCTGGTGTTCCCCGAGGTCTGTGCTTCCTGAGTGCAGTCCTTGGAGTCCAGCAGATGGGGCTGCCCAGGGCCAGCAGGGATGGTGTCCTGGGGCCAGCAAGGACTAGACTTTCCCAGGAGTCCTTAAAACCACAGCCAGTTTTGCAAAGAGTCTTGAAGGGGGGACTGTGTAATGTGGGTGGACAGGAGAGTATGTCATAGATCTGGGGAATTACTATGCCTTGGCTGGTAGTCAGGAGGTTGGCAGGACATGATCAAGTTAAGATGGGATGGACTGTGCCTCTGGCTACAGTGAAAACTGCTCTAGGGAATTGCTATAAACAAGGACAGTGGGGAGAAAGGGACAGGCAATGGTAAACTCAAAACCATATGGTTGGCAAGATCTGCTTTCCAGCTAGGACTTGTCTTAAATTTGGGCAATGTTCTTTGGTGCTGATTTTTCTACCCAGATTAAGTCTAGTGAAGCAAAGAAGCAGTTCTCCTTTCTCTTTGTAGGTAAATGCAGCAAAAAGGCCTTCAGTCCTTGAACTGCGAGAAAGTTGGGTTTTATGTATGCCCAGTATTTTTAACTATAGTTCTGTCACTGACAGCAGGAAGTTGGTTGGTTCAGAAGGCACACCTATAGAAGAGGGAATGGCTATCTTCTGTTTGGAGAGACTTGGCCTGTGATAAGACCGGGAGAGAGCTGTTCCTGCAAGGCCAATCTTTGGAGCTTTTACTCTCTATTGACCCTTAGTAACCCTCAGTTTTCACACCATTTTGCCTCCTAGCTGCCTATACTACAGGGTGGGTGATCACTCCAGCAAGCTTGGTGCCCTTTGTTGTATATAAAAAGCTGAAACTTTGATCTTGAAAGGGTGGCCCTAGCAGTGCCCCCGGCCTTTGAAATGTCACATGTTCGAAATCTTCAGTTTTTTGCTATGGCGACTTTCCTCATCATTGCTATATCTTAAAAACAAAAAAACAAAACCAAATAACCAAACAAACAAACAAAAAACCATGATCTTTCATGATCTCATGCATTAGAACTCGCATTTTAATAAAAGTCATCTGTAAAGTCTGAGTTCTCAGTTGTAGGGGTGAAACAGATAGGAGTTCCTGTTGTATTATGGATTTAAAGAAATAGTGACCAGGCCGGGCGCGGGGGCTCACGCCTGTAATCCCAGCACTCCTGACCTTGTGGTCAGCAGATCGAGACCATCCTGGCTAACACGGTGAAACCCCATCTCTACTAAAAATACAAAAAATTAGCTGGGCGTGGTGGCGGGCGCCTGTAGTGCCAGCTACTCGGGAGGCTGAGTCAGGAGAATGGCATGAACCTGGGAGGTGGAGCTTGCAGCGAGCCGAGATCGTGCCACTGCACTCCAGCCTGGACAACAGAGTGAGACTCTGTCTCAAAAAAAAAAAAAAAGAAAAGAAAAGAAAAAAAAAGAAATAGTGACCAGTCACACAGGTAAATGGGCCCAGTGGAAATTCATGGAGTATGGATGACAGGCCAAAAATGCCCTGGGGGAGAAAATGAGGAGGCAGTGCCTAACTGTGACAGGTGAGGCAGGTAGAGCTTTGGTCATACCAAGCCTACAAGGCAGGTGCTTGGGTTACCCCTATTTGAAAGACAGGGAAACTGAGGCACAAGGAGCTTTAAGTAAGCTGGGACAAGTAAGCTTGTCCCAGATCACCCTACTAATAATTAGGATTCAAATATGTGGTCTGGCTCCAAACCCCTTCTTGTAATCATAGCACTACACTGCCTCTTTAAGAGGGAAAAGGGCTTACTCGCTCTAAAACCGGAGAGTCCCAACCTCATCTCAGCCAGACATTGGCACATTTCAAGGTGGACTTCCGCAATAGGTGTGGTCCTTTGACCAGGGCCCCCGGGAAAAACCCCATCAGACCCTCTGAATCACTGTCACCAAAATTTCCAGCTTGGCCCCCTCATGTCAACCCCTGGAAGATTCAGGAACCACATAGGGTGGGCTCTCTAGGAGCTGCCCCAACAGGGACCCACGGACAGCGCTCCCTGACCAGGTGACCTAGCTGGGCTGCTGCGACTGCGCTTTCATACTTCCAGCCTCAGGGAAGGGAAGCATCTCCCCACAAGCTGTCAAACCAAGGGATCCTAAGGAGGCTCGAGATCCTGGTACCAAAAAGGTGCTTATTTTATTAGATAGCCCTGTTGCACACACCACTTCTCCACGGGAGATCGGGGACTGGCATTAAGTGCAGTCTTACTAGAATATCTAACAGAGCAAGAGTCCTGGCAGCCCGAGGGAATGGAATGGTCAACAGCCCGAGCCTCAAGTCTGCAACCTCCTAGGCAGTCCTGGGCCCCAGAGGGCAAACAGCATGCTCCAGAGATGGAGCCATGCTACCCTTGGTTCAAGCCCAAACCACCCCAGTTCTCCCCTTCAGAGGAAGTGGCTGTCCATCCATCCAGCCTTGACGGACCTCCCTGACCAAGAACATGCTTCCCTAGCTTTTTCCCAAGGTTCTGCGAGAGCTTTCTTCCCCTGACCCTGCCTCAGAACATTTCTATAGCTGTGGGACCAGTTTACCCTGGGCCAAGTACATGCGACCTGTAGATCCCCTGCCCCAGAGTAGGGGGAGCGGGCACTTAAGGATGCAGGTACCTGGCCGGGCGCAGTGGCTGACGCCTGTAATCCCAGCACTTTGGGAAGCCAAGCTGGGTGGATCACTTGAGCCCAGGAATTCAAGACCAGCCTGGACAACACTGAAACCCCATCTGTACAAAATAAAAAATTAGCCGGACATTGTGGCACATACCTGTGGTTCCAGCTACTCGGGAGGCAGAGGTGGGAGAATCGGCTGAGTCCAGGAAGTCAAGGCTGCAGTGAGCCGTGATCACGCCTCTGCACTCCAGCCTGGGCGACAGGAGTGAGATACTGTCTCAAGAAAAAGAAAAGAAAAGAAAATGCAGATACCTAAGCCCAACCCCTAGAGAGTTTGTTCAGTAGGATGGCAGTAGGCTGGAGTGGCTCAGAAATCTGTATTTTAAACAAGCTCCCTAGGTAGTTCTGATACACATTAAAATGTAAAGAGCTAAGATCATGCGACCCAGTGTGAGAATTCCCAAGCCTGAGGCTCAGCTCCACCTGTCGCAAGCGGGTTGAGCTGAAATAATTCACTTGCTCCCTTTAAGCCTCAGTTTTTTCATCTCTCTAATGGGAGCAACACATGTTCTGCTAAACTCACTAGTTTGCTGAAAATCGTATCAGATAATGGATGTTGTGATCAGCTGGAAAATGATGCGTCAATAGGTGTCTCCATCTTAATCCCTGGAACCTCTGCACGTTACCTTATATGGAAACAGGGTCTTGGCGGCTGTGATTAAATTAAGGACTAACTTAATTTGAGATTGGGAGATTATCTTGGATTTTCCAGGTGGGTCTAAATGCAATCACAAGCATTTTATTAGAGATAAGCAGAGGGAGATTTGACACACAGAGGAGAAGATGATGTCAAGACTGAGGCAGAGACAACACAGAGACAGCTAACACTGACGTGTTAAGCAGTGAGTGCCACAGAAATATTTACTGCTGTTATTACTTAGACTGTAGGTGTTAACTGGGCCTGGCCTCGCCATTCCTGATGAAAACTCCTATGTCTATGAATAGCCTCTTCTAGAACTCGGGCTTTGTGATGTCTTTCGGATATTTTGAAGGCTTCCAACAGAACAAGGCATGCATTAAACGAAAGCAAATAAGCTTTACTACAACCATATCTGAAATGTGTTTTCCTGATCAAGTGGGATGGGAAAGAACAGTGAGTGGAGTCCCAGGCATGTTAAGAATGGCGTGCTGTTTTTTAAGTGGTGAGTGGAATGTATTTGTACATTGCCCCAGCAAATACTGCTGTTCAATGATTGTGTGGTGCTGAATCCTGTAGGGTCATAAAAAGTCTAAGCCTCTTAGAATAAGAACCTTACTAATAATATGCCTTGAGTTCACACAGTTCCTGTTACTCCAGGAGCTCAGGGAGCTTTTCTGAATCTTCTCTACTTTATTCATGTTCCTAGGAGGTGATAGATACATTTTAAAGAAAAGGAAACAGGCCAGGTGCGGTGGCTCATGCCTGTAATCCCAGCACTTTGGGAGGCCAAGGCAGGCAGATTGCTTGAGACCAGGAGTTTGAGACCAGCCTGGTCAACATGGCAAAACCCCGTCTCTACTAAAAATACAAAAATTATCCAGGTGTGGTGGCGGGCACCTGTAATCCTAGCTTTTTGGGAGGCTGAGGCATGAGAATTGCTTGAACCCAGGAGGCAGAGGTTGCAGCAAACCAAGATGGCGCCACTGCACTCCAGCTTGGGCAGCAGGGCGAGACTGTCTCAAAAAAAAAATTTTTTTTTTTTTTGAAGATTCGAAACTAATATGTCAGGGAAGAGGAGTACAGAAGAACACACATCCAGGGACTCATGGAGCCGCAGAAGGAGAGAGCAAGGGAGTTTTCCAGTGAGGTTAGCAGCTGTGGCTGACCCGCTTGGGACAGATTCAGGAGAAACTGCTGACCTGGTCTGGAATGAGGCCTTCTGTGGTTTTAGGAAAGGGATTACCACTTATGTTTTCTACCTCGCACCACCTCAGGGGTAGCTGCAGAACTCTCATTTTTAAAAATTTGATTTTAATGTCAATTCTGACCTTACAGCCAGGGATAATGATTGAAATATTTAACAGCATAGACAGCAGGGATAATGAGGACAGACGCTGGCCGTGAGCAGCTGCACTGGCTGTGTGACTTGACTGGCCTCAGTCCTATGGCGCCACGGCTCGCTGAGGAAGAGGAAAGTCAAAGTTGAACGTGGAGGGGTCTTGGTGTCCCCGTTCCACCAGGATCAGGAATGGGTTCCAAGGGGCATGGGTGTAGGGAGGCGAGAGGAAGAGAGTAGGCGGGACTGCCCGTCAGCCCCTGCCTGCGGCTCCCAGGCGTGGCTTCCCAGGTGTGGGCCTCAGACTGGCCCACTGAGATTCCCCAGCCTCTTCCAGGACAGACTCAGCATGTCTGGGAGGGGTGGGGGACAGAAACCAGTGTGGTCAGCAGCGCCCTGTGACTCTGCTGTCTGGAAGTGTTTGAAAAGCCAAGTCCTCCCACCTCCAGCCCCACCCTACCTGTCCCCCACCCTCTTTTTTTTTTTTTTTGAAACAGAGTTTTTTGCTCTTATTACCCAGGCTGGAGTGCAATGGTGCAATCTCGGCTCACTGCAACCTCCACTTCCCAGGTTCAAGCGATTCTCTTGCCTCAGCCTTCCCAAGTAGCTGGGATTATAGGCATGCGCCACCAAGCCCGGCTAATTTTGTATTTTTAGTGGAGATGGGGTTTCTCCGTGTGGGCAGGCTGGTCTCGAACTCCTGACCTCAGGTGATCTGCCCACCTTGGCCTCCCAAAGTGCTGGGATTACAGGCATGAGCCACCGTGCCCGGCTCCTCTTAATAAAATAATACTAAGGTGCCTATTGCCCACTTTCTCATCCACCTCTTGTTCTCTAACAATATCATCCCCTGCTCCCCAGCAGCAATGCTCCTGGGTCATCTAGCCTGAGGCTAGAGGAAGCAGAAGGCAGGAATAAAAACTGGAGAAAGTTTGTACCCTTTGACCAACGTCTCCCTATTTCCACTCCCCGCAGCCCCTGGCAATCACCCTTCTACTCTGCTTCTGCAAGCTTGACATTTTATTTTATTTTATATTTAATTTTAACTTAATTTTATTTTGAGACTGAGTCTCGTTCTGTCGCCCAGGCTGGAGTGCAGTGGTGTGATCTTGGCTTACTACAACCTCTGCCTCCTGAGTTCAAGCAATTCTCCTGCCTCAGCCTCCCGAGTAGCTGGGATTACAGGCGCGTACCGCCATGCCTGGCAAATTTTTTGTATTTTTAGTAGAGACGGGGTTTCACCCTGTTGTCCGGGCTGGTCTCGAACTCCTGACCTCAAGTGATCTGCCTGCCTCCGCCTCCAAAAGTGCTAGGATTACAGGCGTGAGTCACTGCGCCTGGCTGAGCTTAACTATTTTAGATTGCACATATGAGTGAGATCAGGCAGTGTTTGTCTTTCTGCGTCTGATTTGTTTTACTGAGCATAATGTCTTCCAGGTTCATCCATGTTGTTGCAGCTGTCAGGATTCCCTTCTTCTTTAAGGCTGAATAATATTCCACTGTGTGTGTGTGTATACACAGATATGCCACATTTTCTAGATCCATTTATTTGTCAGACATTTAGGTTATTTCCACATCTTAGCTATCTTAAATGTAATTACCACAGAAAGGAAGGAGGGAAGAGGAAAGAAAGTGGCAACTATGTGAGGTGTTACGTTAACTGGCTTAACCGTGGTGACTATTTCACAGCGTATGTCAAAAACAGCAAGTTGGAGGCCAAGGTGGGAGGATTGCTTGATCCCAGGAGTTTGAGACCAGCCTGGACAACACAATGAGACCCTGTCTCTACAAAAAAAAAAAAAAAAAAAAAAAAAAAAAAAAGGCAGGGCGTGGTGGTTCACACCTGTAATCCCAGCAATTTGGGAGGCCAAGGCGGGCGGATCATGACATCAGGAGATGGAGACCATCCTGGCTAACATGGTGAAACCCCGTCTCAACTAAAAATACAAAACCAGCCAGGCATCGTGGCTGTAGTCCCAGCTACTAGGGAGGCTGAGGTGGGAGAATCAGACTCCCAAACCAGTGAACATTAATTTTGGCCATTCATTCTCCTAATGTACATTTGAGTCTACACAGTCACTACATGCTGGGGACAAAGTCTGTGTTTGTTTCTTTCTCTTTATTATTGGCCTCTTTTTTTCATCATTTCTTTTATTAAAATTCATGCAGTCTTACACACACAGGGAGTCTTAATCTGCCTCATAATATTCGAAGTAGACATAGTATATATTTTTGAAACTTTAAAAGAACCTCAGTGACAACCGGGCTGCTTGTTTTGCACATGGGAAAACCAAAACATAAAAAGAAGTTAAATGTCTCATTCAAAGTCCACACCTCCTAATGCAGAGCTAGATCTGCATTTAGAACCTGCTAGAGCTGTGTGTCTCCTTTGAGTGGACAGACACCCTGACCGGACCAGCCTTTGGCTGTGAGGAGTGCAGCCGGGGAACATGCTGCCGGTGGCTAAGGGCAGTGATGCACCCAAACTTAACTTCAGCCAAACGTGGCTTCAGCACCTCAAGTCTGTTCCAGCCTTGGGGGCTTATGAAGGCCAGGCAGCCGAAGGCCGACTTCAGCCTTCTTTCTGGAACTCTCCTGAACTTGTACGTAATCGATGATCTTGTGATCACGTGGATTACCACTGTGCCTCTTCTGCGTCACCACATCAGTCATGCCAGCAATGCCACTTGGATTTATTGCTAACATCGGAATATTCACTCCCAAATATATGAATCCATTTTAGATGTAGCTTGGAAGGAAAGATCTCCTTATTTGCTTGTATGTTGGGATTCTCTCAGTCAACAGAAAATAGCTGTTGTATTTATTATTGTAAGAATAAAACACTACAATAATTAATGATGTTTGTGGAAGCTGCTAATTTTCATCCAGAAAAAGTTATTAACAACTTTTAAGTTGTTAAATACAGACACAAATTGACAATACTAAATATTATGAGAGTCCACTAACTAGATACTTTTGGGAAGAATACTATATCCTTTTTGACCCAACACATGTTTATAAAAATTAAATAATAATAGAGGGCTGAATAATGGAGAATATATTTTATTGTGAATCTAACCTTTTTAGTTGTTTGGGGGTACTAGATTAATAACAGTAAACCAAATAAGCTATAAAGGCTGGGCACGGGGGCTGATGCCTATAATCCCAGCACTTTGGGAGGCCGAGGTGGGTGGATCACCTGAGGTCAGGAGTTCAAGACCAGCCTGATCAACATGGTGAAACGCTGTCTCTACAAAAAAAAAATTAGCTGGGCATGATGGCAGGTGCCTGTAATCCTAGCTAGTCAGGAGGCTGAGTCGGGAGAATCGCTTGAACCCGAGAGGAGGAAGTTGCAGTGAGCCGAGATCATGTCATTGCATGCCAGCCTGGGCAACAGAGTGAGACTTCATCTCAAAAAAAAACCCTGGCCGGGCGCAGTGGCTCATGCCTGTAATCCCAGCACTTTGGGAGGCTGAGGCGGGCGGATCACAAGGTCAAGAGATCGAGACCATCCTGGCCAACATGGTGAAACCCCGTCTCTACTAAAAATACAAAAATTAGCTGGGCATGGTGGCACGCATCTGTAGTCCCAGCTACCCAGGAGGCTGAGGCAAGAGAATCACTTGAACCCGGGAGGTGGAGGTTGTAGTGAGCTGAGATCGCGCCACTGCACTCCAGCCTGGCGACAGAGCAAGACTCCGTCTCAAAAACAACAACAACAACAACAGCAACAAAAGCCCTGTAAGAATCATATTAAATATTTAGTAATTTAACTTCATTTAGTTCATGACTGTTGCTTCTCTGCAGGACTCAGTTGAAATTAAGTCTCTATTTAGAATTGCAAATGTGCAGCACCCTGGTGCAGGAGGAATCTAGCTGCCCAGGATGCCGATCAAGACCTACTGAACTGAAATGGCAAACTTTAAAAATGGACTCCAATTTTTGTTGTTATCATTGTTTTTGTTTGTTTTTGTTTTTGTTTGAGATGGAGTCTCGCTCTATCGCCCAGGCTGGAGCGCAGTGGTGTGATCTCGGCTCACTACAACCTCCACCTCCCGGGTTCAAGCAATTCTCTTGCCTCAGCCTCCCAAAGTAGCTGGAATTACAGGTGCCTGCCACCAAGCCTGGCTAATTTTGCATTTCTAGTAGAGACAGGGTTTCACCATGTTGGCCAGGCTGGTCTCGAACTCCTGACCTCAAATGATCCACCTGCCTCGGCCTCCCAAAGTGCTGGGATTACAGGCATGAGCCACTGTACCTGGCCAAACTCCAGTTTCTAACAATAAAGTGTAATTACATTTTAAAGTCAAATTTCAGATTTGTTCTTGTGTCCTCGAATTCATTGAGGGTGGTGCTCCTGCTTCGTCGCTGGCTTTCACTCAGGTTCCGTATTATTCCTAACAGCCTCCCCGCCCCCGTGTGTTTGTGCAGCTCTGGATGGAGCGATGAGGGCAGGTGCTTCTGTGAGCCCTTTCATGTTCCCTTCTCTTCTGTCCTCTGCTCCCGCAGCAGGGGAGGCCTGAGAAGGGCCATGGTTTCCAATCTTATTGTGCAACAGGAGAGGCGAGCGGGATTGGGAACTCATCTCCCCAGTGTGCTCTGCAAGGCCGGCCAAGCTGGCTCCAGGATGCGTGGTTCCCATGGCTTGACCATGGCAGGGGGTCTGGGGATGCCCAGCAGTGAGAAGCATGGTGGGTCACCTCTCTCGTGTGTTTCTCTCCTTCCTCCCTGATAGTTTGTGAAGTTTGCCAACATCGAGGAGGACACCCCGTCCTATCACCGGAGCTATGACTTCTTTGTGTCCCGATTCAGTGAAATGTGCCACTCGAGCCATGATGACTTAGAAATCAAGACCAAGTGAGTAGGGGAAGGCAAGGGTAGTTGGTTCAGCTTACAGCAGAAGCAACGGTGGGTCCTGTAGATAACTTCCAACCTGCCATTGCGTGTCTGCTTTTGTTAGTATCTGTGTCTGCTCTGATGTTGCCGGGCAGGTGGGCCAGCACCCAGCTCCCTACATGTGGTTTCTGTTTTTTTTTTTTTTCTTTTTGAGACCGAGTTTCACTCTGTTGCCCAGGCTAGAGTGCAGTGGCGCGATCTTGGCTAACTGCAACCTCCGCCTCCCAGGTTCAAGTGATTCTCATGCCTCAGGCTCCCAAGTAGCTGGGATTACAGATGTGCACCACCACGCCCGGCTAATATTTGTATTTTTAGTAGAGATGGGGTTTTACCATGTTGGCCAGGCTCATCTCAAACTCCTGACCTCAGGTGATCCACCCACATCGGCCTCCCAGAGTGCTAGGATTACAGGCGGGAGCCACTACACCCGGCCCCCACATGTGGTTTCTAAAGGAAAAACTGCTTGGGCCAGACAAAGGGGCTCAATGTAAGATAACAGTCCTTTGAGCCCAATTTGAGAGCCAGTGACAGAACACACATGTGTACACACACACAGCCCTCCATACACTCTTTTGTTCAGAATTATATGCATTTATACTCCAGAAACACACCCACTCACCATTAACCATCAAAATCTACACCTACCAATAAAGAGCCAAAGTTCACACTTTGGCTGATCCCAGCTGCATTCTCCACTCCATCTCCTTGGCCCTCCTGCTTGCTCGTTCCCCTCCAGCACACCACAGACACTGCCTCAGGGCCTTTGCACAGTCTGTGCTTGTGCTGGGAATGCTTCCTCCAGGGATCTGCATGGCTCACTGCATCGCCTCTGTCAAACCTTTGCTCAAATGTCCCCTTGTCAGTGAAGCTGCCCTGCACACCCCCACATGCCCACTCCTCCCTCACTCTGCCGGGGTTTCTTTCCCCTTTTAACATGTTTCATACATTACTCTCTGTGTTTCTTGTTCACCACCTGTCTCTTCCCACTGGGATGTAAGCTCTGTGAGGGCAGGGTCCGTCGTTTTACTCACGGATGCATCCCAAGCACTAACACTGCCTGGAGAGCAGTGGCACTTGACAAATTCTTGTTGAGTGAATAACAGAATGAATGAACACCCTCAGACAAGCATCTTGCCTTACGGGATACGCTTTTACATACACATACTCCAATTTATAAAAACACTTAGCTCACAGAAGCATACTTGGACATAGAAGCAAAATCTCTCAAATAAAATCACAGAGAAATTGACCAGGTGCAGTGGCTCATGTCTGTAATCTCAGTACTTTGGGAGGCTGAGGCAGGAGGATCACTTGAACCCAGGAGTTTGAGGCCAGCCTGGGCAACATAATGAGACCCCACCTCCACAAAAAATAAAATTAGCTGGGCATGACTGCACGTGCCTGTATTCTCAGCTACTTAGGAGGCAGAGGTGGGAGGATCTCTTGAGCCTGGGAGGTCGAGGCTGCAGTGAGCCATGATCGCACCCCTGCACTCCAGCCTGGGTGACGGAGTGAGACCCTGTCTCAAAAAAAAAAAAAACAATTAATCACAAAGAAATTAAAATGAATATATGCTTCCAAGGCAGTAGACCGACTCCTGGGCAGGGCCCGGTGCAACTGTGTGGCATTGTCTGGGTTCCCCCAGTCCCCGAGACTCTCATAAGCCAGGTGTGGACTCTGCAGCTGCCCTGCCTGAGTGCCTCTGGTGAGGCCAGAGTGGGGTATGGGAGGAAGGAGCCCCTCATCCTCTCCCAGAATTAGCTTCCTGAGTCACCACCATTGCAAAATGGCTATGAAGAGCCAGAGGGGCTGGAGCTGTGGGGGCATGTCCAGAAGCAGGTGTTAGGGGAGGTATAGGACCATGGCCACATATGTCTGTAACACATGCTGCCCACGCAGGCCCTGCCAAGCTGTCCCAGGGTGGTGGGGGAGTGGATGGGCCACTCATGCCACTGCACACACGTGCACACACGCACACATGCACACAGACACATGTGCACATACACATGATCTGTAGTGTGTGATGTGGTCAGCACTGTGTTCCAGCAGGATCAGGAGTTTCCTGAACATCAGGAGGAAGGCTGCTGAGGTTGGCTCCCAGCCACCAGCAGTGCCATTACACCCACAGGCTGGCGCTGGTCACCCATGACAGGAAGGCCTGTGGGTGAGAGAGGGTGGAGGAGGGATCTTCTGGTGTCAATTTTCTTCCTTCCTCCTCTTCTTGCCTTTCTCTTCCGTCCCCTCCCTGCACCCCTTTTTCCCTGAGATCTCTCCTGTTGTTCATTCTCAGCCTTTTTAGACTCAGCTGACCCGGTGGCAGCTGTGCTGGGCTGTCCACACACATAGCATCATTTTGGTCTAGGAACCCAGAGGCTGCCTCTGAATGCCATTGACTGCCCTTTCCAGTAACACCCTTGGGTCCAGCAGTGGGCCTGTGCATGCAAGTGTGTGTGTGTGTGTGTGTGTGTGTGTGTGTGTGTGTGTGTGTGTGTGTGTGTGATTCCTCAGGGTCAGTGGATCAGTATTATCTGATCTTTCCTTGGATTCAGAGACTTCATGGGGCCCTTGGTCATGGGTAGATCTCCACTGTGCCCATTAAGAGGAGCAGTAGGGCCGGGCGCAGTGGCTCACGCCTGTAATCCCAGCACTTTGGGAGGCCGAGCGGGGCGGATCACAAGGTCAGGAGATTGAGATGGAGACCATCCTGGCTAACACGGTGAAACCCCTATTTAGTCTCTACTAAAAATACAAAAAAAATTAGCCAGGCGTGGTGGCGGGCACCTGTAATCCCAGCTACTCGGGAGGCTGAGGCAGGAGAATTGTGTAAACCCGGAGGCAGAGCTTGCAGTGAGCCGAGATAGTGCCACTGCACTCCAGCCTGGGCAACACAGCGAGACTCTGTCTCAAAAAAAAAAAAAAAAAAAAAAAAAGGAGCAGTAAGGGCCAGGTGTGGTGGCTAAAGCCTATATGGCCAGCACTTTGGGAGGCTGAGGCAGGCAGATTACTTAAGGTCAGGAGTTCAAGACCAGCCTGGTCAACATGGTGAAACCCCGTCTCTATTGAAAACACAAAAAATTAGCCAGGCATGGTAGCGCACAACTGTAGTCCCAGCTACTCAGGTGGCTGAGGTACAAGAATCACTTGAACCTGGGAGGTGGAAGTTGCAGTGAGCTAAGATTGTGCCACTGCACTCCAGCCTGGGCAACGGAGTGAGACTCCGTGTCGAAAAATAAATAAATAAATGAATAGGAAGAGTAAGAAGCTTCCTCCCCCTCCAGGCCTGATCTTTCTGAACTTCTTTTGAAAGGCACGGTCAGCTCTGGGTGTCACAGAATGAATCGTGCATTTGTGGAAGGGATTCTGGGGAGACTGAAGGTGAAGGAGTGCAAGGTAGTTAGGAAAAGAAGAAAGATTAATTCACATGTACACATAAGGGAGCCCTGGGTAGAAGTTTTTCTGCCAACCAGGCGTTGTTTCCTGCCAGCCAGGCCCACTTGGACGGGACAAACGAGTCCAGCATGCTGGGGATGTGTGTCACTTGTCCCTTGGTTAGGGAGTGCCTTTTTAAACTGGAACTAAGAAGAGTCAGCAGGACAGTATTCCTGATCGTTCATTCCCAAGTCCGGACAGCTGCCAGCTCAGGGTCTTGAATGTGGTCAGGGTCAGGACAGCGTGGCCAGGTGCTTCCAGGGAATCCTTGCCCATCGCCAGTGGCCCTAAAAGTTTCTGGGCCAGGGTATCCTGTTTCTCCTAGGCTGCTGCCACCTCCAGCCACAGTTCCTCGGTAAGACCCAGGGTAGCACCCTGGCAACCCCAGTTAAAACCAAAGTTAAGGCCAGGCACGGTGGCTCACGCCTGTAATCCCAGCACTTTGGGAGGCCAAGGCGGGAGGATCACAAGGTCAGCAGATCGAGACCATCCTGGCTAACACGGTGAAACCCTGTCTCTACTAAAAATACAAAAAAATAGCCAGGCGTGGTGGCGGGCGCCTGTAGTCCCAGCTACTGGGGAGGCTGAGGCAGGAGAATGGCGTGAACCCGGGAGGCGGAGGTTGCTGTGAGCCGAGATCGTGCCTGGGTGACAGAGCGAGACTCCGTCTCAAAAAAAAACGAAGTTAAAAATGCAACTGGCAACTCAACCTTGAGAAAAACTGCTCATCTCCAATAATCACAAAAGGATTTGAATTGAAATAGCTACAAAATGTGAGGATTTTTTGGAGTCATAAAATTAGAACAGATGTTTAAAATGAGATCCTCAATACTGCCACAGGCACTGTGAGAGTGGCATTCTCCTGCGGCTTGCGCATGGGCAGGGGGTGGGGGCAGTTATTTTGGCAAATTGGGAGCCTTTCATTTCCTTTTTTGAGACAGAGTTTCACTCTTTCATCCGGGCTGGAGTGCAGTGCCATGATCTCACATGATCTCAGCTCACTGCAACCTTTGCCTCCCAGGCTCAATCAGTACTTCCACCCCAGCCTCCTGAGTATCTGTGACTACAGGTGCGCACCACCATACCTGGCTAATTTCTTTCTTTTTTTTTTTTTTGAGACAGGGTCTTACTCTTTCGCCTAGGCAGGAGTGCAGTGGCATGATCTCCGCTTACTGTAACCTCCACCTCCTGGGTTCAAGCAATTCTTTCACCTCAACCTCCCGAGTAGCTGGGATTACAGGTGCCTGCTACCATGCCTGGCTAATTTTTGTATTGTTAGTAGAGACGGGGTTTCACCATGTTGACCAGGCTGTTCTCAAACTCCTGACCTCAGGTGATCCACCCACCTCGGCCTCCCAAAGTGCTGGGATTACAGGCGTGAGTCACCGCGCCCGGCCTAATGTTTTAATTTTTTGTAGAGATGAGATTTTGCCATGTTGCCCAGGCTGGTCTCGAACTCCTGAGCTCAAGCTATATACTGGCCTTGCCTCCCAAAGTGCTGGGGTTACAGGTGTGAGCCACTGTGTCTGGCTGCCTTTTATTTCTTACCTTTTGACTCATTGATTCCACTCATGGCAATGACTTGAAACATAGTAAAATATTTCATACAATGATGCCCATCATAGCATTATTATAAAAGTGAAACGTTTGGCCAGGCACGGTGGCTCACACCTGTAATCCCAGCATTTTGGGAGGCTGAGGCGGGTAGATCATGAGGTCAGGAGTTCAAGACCAGCCTGACCAACACGGTGAAACCCTGTCTCTACTAAAAATACAAAAATTAGCCGGGCATAGTGGCACATGCCTGTAATCCCAGCTACTCAGGAGGCCAAGGCAGAAGAATTGCTTGAACCCGGGAGGCAGAGGTTGCAGTAAGCCAAGATCGCACCATTGCACTCCAGCCTGGGCGACAGAGCCAGACTCCACCTCAAAAAAAAAAAAAAAAAAAAAAAAAGCAAAACATTTGGAAACAACTTAAATGACTAATAGTCACTAGTTTAGAAAGGTCTTATGATAGTCTATCAGGCAACCATTCAACATGTTTATGAAGAGTTAATGACATAGGAAAATGCATAGAATGTATGTGAAAAAAGCCAATACAAATAAAATATGCAATAGGTTCTTAATTCTGTTATATATTATGCACAGAAGAAAGGAATTACATCAAAATGCCAATAACAGTTATGTTTGATAACAAAGATAACAGTGGTAGTGGTGGTGGTAGTGGTAAATCTTCTCTTCTCTATACTTTTCTATGATTAGTATGTATTATTTTATAACCAGAAAAAAGGTTTTATAAAAAAGAAAGAAAGAAACTTCAGTCTGAAATAAATGGCTAGTAAAGAGGGCTCCCTCCCACAGAGCTGTGCTGACCCTGGGTTCACATAGCAGGGACTGGGGGTGTACAAAAGGGGCTCCTGCTGTGCTGTTACTCAGTTTCCCCTCTGGTTAACCCTAGCTCCAAGCCGACACCCCTTTGTGCCCAGAGAGCCTGCAGCTCTGTGCCTCTCCCTCTGGATCCGCCTCCCCCTGCCCCCGCAAGTTGCTCACAGCCTCGGATTCTGCTTCATCAGTTCTTGGCAGCGTTTTGAGCTCTTACATCTTGGGCCCAAGCTGGAACAACCCCAGCTAAGTACTAAAGATGGGGAGCTGGAGCATCCAGCACCCTAGGGCTGGAGCCCAGATGGTACCAGGGCAAGGGCAGCCTGGGAGTCTCCAAGATGATTAAAAAGACATGGCTTCCTGGGCTCATGTCTGCCAGCACCAGGAGGTCTCATGAGAGTAGCAGCTGGTCTCCATTCTGCCTTCTGATGGACAAATGTATCCCTGACTCCTAAGCTGTGCTCTTCTCTTAGCCACCGAAGCTGGACTTCTCAGGGCTAGAGGACTTCCGAGTCCCACTTCACCCTTTTCCTTACAGAATTCGAATGTCAGGCATCAAAGGCCTGCAAGGGGTGGTGAGGAAGACGGTGAATGATGAACTGCAGGCCAATATCTGGGACCCACAGCACATGGATAAGATCGTTCCATCACTGCTTTTCAATCTACAGCATGTAGAGGAGGCAGAGAGGTAAGCAGGCCGGGATGGGGCAGGACAGTAGATATAATCAACCCTCCAAGGGCTGCTTGGGAACCACATGGTTTGGGTTGGTCAGTAAAACTCAGCTACAAGGCCAGGGACATGGCTTTGTGGCTTGTTCTGCAGTGAGTCCAAAGCTGGCTCCCTAGAAGCCATGGGTCTGACTTTGTGCCAGCCCACAGTGTCCCTTAACATGTGCGTTACCGAAGGAGGACAGTGTTGGTGCTGGGCTCCCTGGTGGGTAAATCTGTTGGTAATAACACACAGAACCAAGAGTCTGGTTACCTTTGTCTCCCTGGAAGCAGGGCCAAGGAGGCTTTAAGATGCCTTTTGTGGGCCGGGCGCGGTGGCTCACGCCTGTAATCCCAGCACTTTGGGAGGCTGAGGCGGGCAGATCACGAGGTCAGGAGATCGAGACCATCCTGGCTAACACGATGAAACCGCGTCTCTACTAAAAAAAAATGCAAAAAAATTAGCTGAGCGTGGTGGCGGGCGCCTGTAGTCCCAGCTACTCGGGAGGCTGAGGCAGGAGAACGGGAGCCCGGGAGGCAGAACTTGCAGTGAGCCGAGATCGCGCCGCTGCACTTACAGCCTGGGCGACGGAGCGAGACTCCGTCTCAAAAAAAAAAAAAAAAAAAAAAAAAAAAAAAAAAAAAAAAAGATGCCTTTCATGGCTCCGATCACTGCGGACTTTCCATCTGGACCTTCCTTCCTCTGTTGCTTCCTGATGCTATTTCAGGCCCTGAAAACGTGCATGCTTGACCAGCCCGCAGCCACTCAGTAAGAGCTTGCAGATACTGGGTTTTAATCCTGGATCCCCTAAGCATGGGATTCATTCCTGTCCCTGCACCCTCATTTTTCCCCTCGGTGAAATGGAATGGGGAGAAAGGCCCACGTTGCTGTCCCACCTGGGCTATCTGTGCACTAGGCTAGTTAGGTCGGTTGATCCCAGGCTACTAGAGCTAGACTCGGGTCGACGGGGGCGGGGGCGGGGGCGGGGGCGGGGGCGGGGCGTGGGGTGGGGCGTGGGGTGGGGTGGGGTTCGTATGCCATCTGGTGGCTGTTTCTGGAATAGCATCTCACTGACAAGCTGCTGTGGTCTCTGGGCTGGGAGTCCTCCGGCTCCTGTTCTGTCCAGATGTGGGCCCACTCCCTGTGACTTGAGTATCATTGACTCTTGCCTGAGCCAACCACTGTGCCTTTCCTTTTCCCTCCCTCTCTTTCCTCTCCTTTCTTCCACTTCTGTTTTGTTTTTTGCCTCCCTTTCCTATCTTCATCTCCCATCTCCTTTTCCTTCTGAAGTCTTAGGTGCATCAAGACACACATGTTCTACACCTCACCTGGCCCATGGGGCTCAGAGCATCCTTCCCACAGTGGTACATCTGGAAATCTTTAAGGATTTCCAGAAAAAGAACTTTATCTTTTCTTCTCCGGTCTTCCCCCACTTCCCCCAGTGGGGGCTTCTTTACCCCCATTTAATTTCTGACAGCTGTGACGCCTCCCCTATTGCCTAGTGCAACCCATGTCAAATTCCTGCTTGTCTTGTGTGGATGAAACACGGAAAGCCGGGATTGTACAGAGCCTGACCCCAGCCTGCATGCCACCCTCTACCCATGTGCCTCTGTCTCCCCAGCCGGTCTCCCTCACCCCTCCAAGCACCTGAGAAGGAGAAAGAGAGCCCCGCGGAGCTGGCTGAGAGGTGTCTTCGGGAGCTGCTGGGCCGGGCTGCCTTTGGCAACATCAAAAACGCCATCAAGCCTGTTCTCATGTGAGTGCCCCCACCCACTGCCTTGGCCCCAGCCTTCAGCCTGGATGTGTTTCAGGTCCCTGGCATCTCCTGGCTGGCTGGGGGGAAGGGGATATTACAGTTGTGGTGCCGCAGCCGAGTCGATCCCTTCCCTGTGCCTGTGTTCCCTGCACTGTGACAGCAAAAGCTGCCACAGGGTGGCCAACTGCTGCCAGTAGGAAGGCACCCAACGCTAAGCAAAGGTGCCCAGCTTCACCACACACATCCACAACTGCAGAGCGCTGTCCTTGGCCTCTCTCCAGCACTGGACTGGGACTACCCCAAGGCCCTTCAGGCTTCACTTCCTCACCCGGGAACTGTGCGAGGGGCTCTGAGAAGGTGTCCCTCTGCCTCCAAGCTAATCTCTTCTCCCTAACACTGCCGGGAGTTTCATAGTTGTTCCCCCACGTTTTCTCCCTCACAGCCATCTGGATAACCATTCTCTTTGGGAACCCAAGGTGTTTGCCATCCGTTGCTTTAAAATCATCATGTACTCAATTCAGGTATGGTGGCTCCCCTGGGCCAGCCGGATCCCAGGACAAAGGCCTCTCTAGAAGCTAGACGGGTGCTAAAATAGAAAGCCAGAAGTCCCCTGTGACTCCTCCGAAGCCCCCAGTTGCCGAAACCAGTGCTGCTTAAGCTAGCTGTGGAGAAGGGCCGGCTGATTTTATTTCCAGTACATCACAGACCAATACTTTTATAAAATACAATTAAAACAAATAATTTCTAGAAAAATTAAATAAAAAACTCATGCAAAATGCAAGCCTACAGATCACACCCTTGGCTGCTACAGCATTGACAAATTGTTTACTAAACACTGACTTTCCATCCCATCCTTATCTCAGTGTAAACCAATATCAGACCTATCTTGAATGGGCACCAGCCCAGGGGCCCCACTTTAGGCAGCACTGGACTAAGCCATGTGGCCTCCCGTGGCTCTTGCCGGAAAGACCTGAAGAAATGAAAGGAAGACCCTATTTTAAAATGGTCTTTTGACCAATTTTGAAGTAAAAGGGCCCTGGAAAACTGTCAGCTGAGGCCTCCACTGGGATTTGGCTCTTTGTTGGAGGGAGAAGGGAAGGATCCAGTAAAGGGCACGAGGTGTCAGTGCCAACTGCAGTGCCCGGGGCCTTGGAACGTCCCTTTAGTTTACCCCCGCCTTTGGGTGCCAGGAGAGGGCTGCGCAGCCCAGGGACCCCGTGGGGTTGCTGTCCAGGCCCAGCTCATCTTCCTCCCGCAGCCGCAGCACTCACACCTGGTCATCCAGCAGCTCCTGGGCCACCTGGACGCCAACAGCCGCAGCGCTGCGACGGTGCGCGCGGGCATCGTGGAAGTCTTGTCGGAAGCCGCGGTCATCGCTGCCACCGGCTCTGTGGGTAAGGGGCATGGCTAGGGCCTGAGGGCCGGGGACCCCGCGGAGGCTGCCGCCTCTTACAGAGAGAGGCAAGGGACAACAGGGAGGGGTCGGAGTCCGTTTTCCTCGGGAGAAGTCCGCCAGGAAGTTGGGAGCGCAGAGGAAGCCCAGGCTGGAAGGGGGCGTGACCCTGCCCTGCCTGCGCGCGGTGCACAGAGGAGGAGGGTGCCAGCCTTGGATCTCGGGTGTCCCGCCCCACCGCTCTCAGGGCCCACAGTACTGGAGATGTTCAACACGCTGCTGAGGCAGCTGCGGCTCAGCATCGACTACGCGCTGACCGGGAGCTACGACGGGGCGGTCAGCCTCGGCACCAAGATCATCAAGGAGCACGAGGAGCGCATGTTCCAGGAGGCCGTCATCAAGACCGTGGGTGCGGCGCGGGGCCGGGCCGGGGCGGGGCGGGGCCGAGGCGCGGAGTGGGGAGGGGAGGGGAGGGACGGGACGGGGCCCAGGGGCTCAAGACTGAGGCGCAGGGCGGGGTGGGGCCAAGGGGAGGAAAGAGGGACCCTGGAAAGGGGCGGGGCACCGGGGGCGGCCCGGGGATGGGGGTTGGAGAGGGAGGGACCGCACTGGGGCGAAGGGCATCCAACCGGGCCCCTGTAGGATTGTCCAGCACCCACATGCTATTCACGGACCTCGGAGAGAATGAAGTCGGGAAATGAAAGGACTGGCTGGGCAGGGCCTGAGCGACAGCGCAAGCAGTCAGATGAGTGTCTCAGATCTGAAGTCTCAGGCGAACCTTCTTTAGTCCCAGTCACCATCAGACCTGCCTGATGCTTCCAGGTTAGGGCTTCCAGGAGGGAGAGATGGGGACTAAGAGAAAAGAATGAGGAAGGGGGCCAGCCGCGGAGAAAATGTGTGTGCTCCTGGGAGCGGAGATTAGATAAAGCCTCTTTCACAGCCTGCCTGCCCTAGCCATGTGAGCTTCCCTTCAGCCTGGAGTAGGCAGGTTAGGAATGCAGAACCATTCTTCTCTCTTAGTTCGTGGGAGGAGGATTTACCCTAGGGCAGCCAGTGAAAGAAGCACCCAACGAGAACTCGGGCTCCCCCCGACCCCCCGCTCCGCCCTGGTCCCAGGGCCCAGCATTCACCATCCCCACCCCCTAGCCAAGGAGTCAAGACCTTAACCACAGCCTCAGGAACAAGTGAAAAAACGGAGCCTGGAAGAGACCTCCAAAACCACCTGATGCCTCCCTTTCCTGGAGAGGCCGAATCACACCCGGGCTATCCTGAATCCCTTTCTCTGGTCCTGGATTGACTCCGGAGAGAGGCAGCCCTCGCTCTCTGCAGCTGAAAGGCTGAACCAGGAGGGGCCCTGGAGCCTGTGCCTCACTGGGCACCCTCTCCGCCACCTCCTGCAGGCTCCTTTGCCAGCACGCTGCCCACCTACCAGCGCTCCGAGGTGATCCTCTTCATCATGAGCAAGGTCCCGCGGCCATCCCTGCACCAGGCGGTGGACACAGGCAGGACGGGGTGAGCCACCAATCTCCCCCAGCCTGGAGTCCTCCTCTCCCCCAGCTGCATTTTCTGACCCCCTCCTTTATCCCTCTTAATTTTCTTGGCTCTGCCCTCTGCTCTCTTTTTACTCCCAAATCCCTCAGCAGCCTTTAATGGGGCTCTTGGATCCCACAGTTTCTCAGGCTGCCCCACCAATAACCACCTCCCAACGTGGGGGGAGCCAGTCATCTCTTGGTCGGCTTCCTGGGTCCGGAAGTCACTGTCCTGGGTAACCCAACACGATAAGCCTCATGGAGAAACGAATTGGGGTAGAACTAAGCTGGCAAGTGTGTGACCTCTGCCCTATTACCATCCTGGTGAGTGTTTGTGTCTCTGGTCTACAGGGAGAATAGGAACCGTCTGACCCAGATTATGCTGCTAAAATCCCTCCTGCAGGTGAGCCCCATCTATCCCCATTCCTGCTCTTCCTCTGCAGGAGACAGCTCCTTCCAAGGGACCAAGTGAAGGCCTCCACATACAGTCGTGCATGTGGCATACTGCACAAATACACCCAGTCGGTTGAGTCGGGGCTGAAATCTAGCCTACGTTCCACTCACTAGCCAGGCTGGGCACCCACAGAGCTGGGTCAGCCACAGCAAATGGGGAACCTGTTTCTAATTTTCACAAAGGTTCCTTATTGGCTACTGATAGCGTTGTCACTCAGACGTGATCTGTCTTGAGACGGAATCTGTTGGTTCCCGCCCTGGTTCCCTCCTGGTACCCCCTCTTTCCCTTTTCCCCTCTGTGTCCCCTGTTTTGCCAGCACGTGTTCTTGGCACATGTGCCCACCTCAGTCTCCCAGCCCCCATCCTTCCCATGCTGTGTTTTATTTAACTCTTCTTTACATCTTTGCAGCCATCACTGGAGTCTAGATCCATTGCTCTCAAACACCATTCCGATGACAGTCTTGTGATAAATATATGATTCCTCAGAGGTTTTAAGCTGTTAGCCTGAGTGAGGTCCTGGAATCTGTATTTGTAACAAGTTCCCCAGGTATTCTGAAGCACAACCCCTGGCCTAAACCTGACATCTCACAACCACCTCTCCCCACCTGTCAGAAACTCAGCTACAACAGTAATTGTCTAGAAATGCTGTTCTCTACCAGATGCCTCTTATTTCACAGTAGGTCTCAGTTTATATTTTTTTTTTTTTTTTTTTGAGATGGAGTTTCGCTCTTGTTGCTTAGGCTGGAGTGCAGTGGTGCGATCTTGGCTCACTGCAACCTTCGCCTCCCAGGTTCAAGTGATTCTTGAGTAGCTGGGATTACAGGCGCATGCCACCACCACGCCTAGCTAATTTTTTTGTATTTTTAGTAGAGACGGTGTTTCACCATGTTGGCCAGGCTGGTCTTGAACTCCTGACCTCAAGTGATCCACCTGCCTCGGCCTCCCAAAGTGTTGGGATTACAGGCATGAGCCACTGTGCCCGGCCTCAGTTTATAATTCATGTACAACCAGATTTCAAACTTCTCAGACTGAAGTTGGGAGGTCCCCAGTCCCCTCTCCCTCCCTAGACCTCCTGTCTCATCTCTCAATCTCTGTCTCAGTTCTGGCCATGCCAATCTAAACAGAACTCCCCCGACCCCGCCGCCACCTCACACCTTCCCTTCCCTCCCCTCCAGTCCACACTCTTCATGGCACTAGATTTTTATAAACCCTTTGTGCTCCAACACTGCCCTCATTTAGTTATCACCTTGGTCTCCATATTCCTGCCATTTCTTTGCTGAGTTTATCCTCATTAATTTGTACCCAGCATTTTCTTAAGATAACAGTTTGGGGTACATCCTTAGGGACCTTCTGAATCATCAAAAGCATTGTTTTACAATATGGATTTAACAGTAAAGGTGCTTTGCTGCATTTGAATGCTTTGACAACAGCATGTATGGCATATCTATTTATGCCAAACTGGCTTTAGTCACAAAGCGCCATTATTGCCAGGCTAACAGACATGTTACAAAATACTACCTATGTGCACTATTTGGTGGTTGCCGTGTGTGTGAGTTCTGATCCTTCAGCCCAGCTGTGAGTTCTTCCACTGTCTCGTTCTTTGTGATGGTCATACTCTTAATGAGGCATTGTGTTCCTGGTGGCTGTTCATCAGTTGTGCCCTAACTGGCTGGAATGTTAGGTTCAGAGACTGCCTGGCTCCCGCTTCCCTCCAGGGCTCATCCCTTGCTTGCTTTTTAACACCCGAATGTCCCTGCACGCTGTCCCCATCCATTCACATGTCTACTGAGCTCGGTGTCATCTAGGTGGATGTTGGAGTGTTCAAAGAGTTGCCTGGGCTGTAGGGTAGGGGAGGCTGGATTGGGCGATGTCTAGAGAGGATGTGTACATCAGACCTGACTTCCTCTGGCTGCTCCTCCATCTCCTCCTGCACCTGAGAGGGACAGCATTCCTAGGCATAGCTGTCCATACCTCCCTTGCAGGTATCCACAGGTTTCCAGTGCAACAACATGATGTCAGCCCTGCCTAGCAACTTCCTGGACCGCCTTCTCTCCACCGCCCTCATGGAGGATGCAGAAATTCGACTCTTTGTTCTAGAGATTCTCATCAGTTTCATTGATCGTCATGGCAACCGCCACAAGTTCTCTACCATCAGGTGAACTTGGGGTGTCTCCTCCAGGCAATGCAAGATGGGGAGAGGACTCTCCATTAGGTCCTATCCTTTGGTCCTGTCCTCACACCCAGGTTCCCACCTCAGTATCTGAGTATTGTGGGATCTGAGTATCCCACAATTCAGATACTCAGTGAGACTCACCAGGAGTTGATCACCAACGTTGACCCTGGGGTCCTGCAAGAGAAGGAGAGACTAAAGGGCACTTGTGTCTGGGAGAGCAGGAGGGTGAACTGAAGATTTGGAAGATAGAGAGTAGGCATTAAAGGGAGTTGCAAGTGTGAGAAGGAAGGGGATGCAGGTTATCAGTAGAGACTGAAGGGATTTGGGGGGAATAAGAGGAGGAAGAAAATAATCAGGATGAAGATTTAAGAGAAAGGGGGTCAGGGCGGTGGCTCGTGCCTGTAATCTCACACTTTGAGAGGCCAAGGTGGGATGATCACTTAAGCCCAAGAGTTCAAGACCAGCCAGGGCAACATAGTGAGACCCCCATCTCTACAAGAAAATTTAAAAATTAGCCGAGTGTGGTGGCTCACACCTGTGGTCCCAGCTCTTTGGGAGGCTGAGTTGGGAGGATTGCTTGAGCCCTGGAGGTTAAGGCTGCAGAGAGCTGTGATTATGGAACAACTACACTCCAGCCTAGGTGACAGAATAAGACCCTGTCTCAAAAAGGAAAAAAGAGAGAGAGATAAAGGGACAAATTCTTGAGAACTTGGGAGGAAAAGGTAATCGGGCTGAGAACCAGGGCCAGGGGAGCACTGGAGGCTTTGTACCAACTAACAATGTTGGGGATAAAGCTCAGTGACCCCGTGTGAGCTCAGGCTGGCCTCATGCAAGGGCTAAGGAGGCCCTTTGCATCCCTTCCCAGTACCCTCAGTGACATCTCTGTCCTGAAGCTGAAAGTGGACAAGTGCTCTCGACAGGACACCGTCTTCATGAAGAAGGTAAACAAGCATGACCTCCAGGCACAGTGAAGGGCGGGCACGGTGGCTCACGCCTGCAATCCCAGCACTTTGGGAGGCTGAGGCGGGCGGATAGATCACTTGAGGTGGGGAGCTCGAGACCAGCCAGACCAACATGGTAAAATCCCATCTTTACTAAAGCTACAAAAATTAACCGGGCATGGTGGTGGGCACCTGCAATCCCAGCTACTCGGGAGGCTGAGGCAGGAGAATCGCTTGAACCCAGAAGGTGGAGGTTGCAGTGAACCGAGATTGTGCCAATGTACTTCAGCCTGGGTGACAGAGCAAAAGTCACTGCTGACCACTGACTGCCCTTGGAGCCTGCCTCCTCCCTCTGTAGCTATGTCTCCTCCCTCTGTAGCTCTGTCTCCTCTCTCTGTAGCTACGTCTCCTCCCTCTGTGGCTATGTGTTAAGCTGACCTCTCTGAGGAGTCAAGCCCAGAGTGATGAGCCAGTCCAGGGCCAGTGACTGTGTTCTGCTCCTACACCTGGATTTGGGCAGCAGCTTCTGGTGCTGGTTTCACTGGAGCCCATCCTTCCCTACGTGAGCCTTCCTGTGTGTGTCTGCTTCTGCCAGAGCCCGCTTTAAAGGCATCCCCTCCCCAAGGGAGGAGGGGGCACACAGCCATCCTGCCCCCCTTCAGATTGGTCTTCCTCCGTGTTCTCCTTGCCCCTCCTGTCCCCATCCCTCCGACCCTGGCCTTCTGCCCGCTCCTGTCCCCAGCACTCCCAGCAGCTCTACAGACACATCTACCTGAGCTGCAAGGAGGAAACAAACGTGCAGAAACACTACGAGGCGCTCTATGGCTTGCTGGCCCTCATCAGCATCGAGCTGGCTAACGAGGAGGTGGTGGTGGACCTCATCCGTCTGGTGCTGGCTGTTCAGGTGGGGCCTGGTGTGCGCAGGGCATGGGGCTTGGGATCAGGGGAGGGACTTGTTTTGGGCAAGCCCTGATAAGAGTATTGACTAGCAACTGCTTAACACTGTTTTGGAGCCCAGGAATATTGTACTCGTGGTTGGCCACGCCTCCCTGAAGACCCCAAACCATGGTCCTGTTTGGGGAACCCCAAAGAATGCTTCATTCATGGTCTTGGCCCGTCCTTAAGCTAAAGAAGACCCAGGGAACCGGGTCGTTCAGAAACATCCCTTAGCTACTACATGTCAAGTCTCTCGCAGAGTCTGAGTGAGACTCCAGGGATTCTTAAAAGGATGCTCATAAGCCCTGAGTGATCCCAGACAAACTCATTTGTCTAAAGATTCTCTGGTTCCCTTGGCCGGGCGTGGTGGCTCATGCCTGTAATCCCAGCACTTTGGGAGGCCGAGGTGGGTGGACCACTTGAGGTCAGGAGTTCAAGACCAGCCTGGCCAACATGGTGAAACCCCGTCTCCACTAAAAATACAAAAATTAGCCGGACGTGGTGGTGCATGCGTGTAGTCCCAGCTACTTGGGAGACTGAGGCAGGAGAATCACTTGAACCAGGGAGGTGGAGGTTGCAGTGAGCAGAGATTTCACCACTGCATGCCAGCCTGGGCAACAGAGCAAGACTCCATCTAAAAATTTAAAAAATTAAAAATTAAAAAAAGATTCTCTAGTTCCCAAATGGAGCTGTGCTTCAGAATTGCTTTGAGCACTTGTTTAAAGTGTCTATTTCCTGGGAAGGTAAGTCAGAGTCTGGAAGCCTGGGGACCTGTCTACCAAGCCTCCTTTGCGATGCGCAGGCAGCCAGTGTGGCACCGGACAGGGCTTGAGGCTTTCATGGTCTTCCTGGGTGCGTGTGTACACCCAAGGCTACTGGGAGTCAGGGTGGGTCCTTTGGACCTCAAAGGCTGGGTCTCCAGGGTCCTGAAGCCAGGAGGGCATCATATTCCTGAATCGGGGCAAGCCTGGGAATTCAGTGACAGTCTCAGACCACCTGTCTGTTGGTGCTAAATCCTGCAGGGCCAGCCTAGATGCTATAATTTTTAAATTCTGTTTACCCTCAAGAACTAGAACTTGGGGTTCCTTTATATCCCAATCCCCTGGTAACTCCCACAGCTAATTTAGCTTAACATATGAGCCCAGTTTAGCAAGCCAATCCAGTCCTCTAAGAATCCGCTATAGTGAAGGAGACAGCACCCTGGCAGTGGGATTAACGACCAGGGTTTGGGCAGTGAAGGTCGCCACAGCTGGAACTGCAGAGTGGGGAGTTGAGGTCATTGCCTCTGTAGTCTGTGAGTACTCAAGAGCCTCCCAGTTCACGGACTGTTCTAGGGACCCCTCCCTTCAGCTTTAATGAAGGTGACTTTTTTCCCCCAGGAAGGTTTGGGTCAAATGCTGAGAAAGACTTAGTCTAGGAAAGCAAGCATTTCTAAAGAAGATTGGGAAGAGGTCGGGTGGAGCGTTGGCACCCAGTGTAGTCTGTCAGTGAAAAACTCCGGAGGCCTTGTCTATGTTGCCGCAGGACGTGGCCCAAGTCAATGAGGAGAACTTGCCTGTCTACAACCGCTGTGCCCTCTATGCTCTGGGCGCAGCCTACCTGAACCTCATCAGTCAGCTCACAACAGTGCCTGCCTTCTGCCAGCACATCCATGAGGTTGGTGTTCTCACGACCAAGAGCTCAGGGGGCCCTCAACTTGGGGTTTCCTGGGAACAGCTTTTCCTTAATTGCATTAGTCCTGTACCTACACTTAGGCAGTGAAGACAGGGTTGAAGTAAGAACCACTAATGGTGAGAAGTTACTCGTGGCATCTTTCCCTCCTGTATGACTTGACAAAGCAGGGTGGGGTTAGGCACAGGGGTTGGGGGGGGTCTTCTATACCTGTTTCTAATACTGTCTGCCCCCTCCACTTCCTGCCCCTCTGTCTTTCCCCTACTCACGGGAGCACACCCGCACACATGCCTCAGATCATGCAGACTACAGCTATGAAATACCGCAAAAGTGACCTCAGATCATGCAGACTACAGCTATGAAATACCGCAAAAGTGACCTCAGATCATGCAGACTAAAGCTATCAAATACCGCAAAGGTGGCCCGAGTAGAATGGTGAATGAACATCTGTTCACGCCCACTCATATGAAATGAACAGTTATGAAAATTTCTCCCCATTTGCTTCATCTGTCTCCTTTTCTTTTCCTTTGCTGAACAAATTTTAAATACTTTAAACAAATATTTTAAAACAAATCCCAGCTATCCTGTCCTTTCACTCTATGTATATCCGTCTGCATGCCTGAAACAGCATGAACACCTCCCTACATGACTGCCATGCTCTTAACACAGCTCATTAAGTGATCAGTAATTCCTTGGTGTTATCTGACACCCATTCTATAGTCAAATGTGTTCTCAGTTGTTGCATAAAGATCTTTTAAAACACATGGAAGTGCTTAGAGGTTGAATGATACCAACATGTAGGATTAACTTTAAAATACATTAGCAAGCCAGGCGCAGTGGCTCAAGCCTGTAATCCCAGCACTTTGGGAGGCCGAGGCTGGTGGATCACTTGAGATCAGGAGTTCGAGACCAGCCTGGGCAACATGGTGAACCCCCGTCTCTACTAAAAATACAAAAATTAGCTGGGCATGGTGGCGCACACCTGTAGTCCCAGCTACTCAGGAAGCTGAGGCAGGAGAATCGCTTGAACCTGGGAGATGGAGTTGAGCCAAGATTGCACCACTGCACCCCAGCCTGGGTGACAGAGCAAGACTCTGTCTCAAAAATAAAATAAAATGAAATACATTAGCAAAACAAAATAAAACAAAACAAGAAAATTTAGGTCTTAACTAGCCTGGGTTGGCTGGGAGTCACAGGGGAGGGTGCCGTGACTGTGACAGAGACCACTCAAAGGGAAGCAGGAGTCTTCCAGCTTCTGGGCTGATAAGGGAGTATAAGAAAGGCAATGCCCAGACATCCTCTGCCTGACAATTGTGGGACCTTTACCTCCTCACCCTCGACACACACCTGTATGTTGACCATCCCTCCACTTCTTACCACCTTAGTAACTTGCACTTTTCTTGTCAAAAATTTGCAAAGAGTACTGAGTAAAGCTCAAGATGTCACTGTCCATCAGGGTGTTTTGCAATGCACTTGGGTACTGCAGTACCCAGGTTTGGGACAAGGTGTGAACTACATTCCTTTGTACCTGTTTAAATAAAAAACACAGGAATGAGGCCAGGTGCAGCGGCTCAGCCTTAATCCCAGCACTTTGGGAGGCCAAGGCAGGTGGATCACTTGGGGTCAGGAGTTTGAGATCAGCCTGGCCAACATGGTGAAACCTCATCTCTACTAAAAATATAAAAATTTGCCAGGCGTGGTGGCATGCACCTGCAGTCTCAGTTACTCGGGAGGCTGAGGCAGGAGAATTGCTTGAAACTGGGAGGTGGAGGCTGCTGTGAGCCAAGATTGTGCCATTGCACTCTAGCCTGGACAAGACAGCGAGACTCCGTCTCAAAAAAAAAAAAAAAAAAAAGCATAGGAATGAGGCATTGGAGCCAGCAGCTGCAGTCTCTTAAGAGTTAAGTTCCCTGCATTGGAGGACACTTAGTGCACATGTGTCATTGATGGCCATGGCCTGAGCAGGCAGCTTGAGCTTCTCAGGCTGCCCTGAGGGTCCCTGTTGATGCGAGTTTCCACTGAAAAGCTCAGCTGAGGACACTGTGCTGAGGAGGCTGTGGGAGGGAGGAAGCACCGAGCCGGGCATGGGAGCTCTTTCGTTGCCTGTGAGCTCCCTCTCCCTGCTGAACCAGCTCTTATCTGATTCCTCCCAACCGCCAGGTGATAGAGACCAGGAAGAAAGAGGCTCCATACATGCTCCCCGAGGATGTGTTTGTGGAGAGGCCCAGGTGAGGAGAGGACGGGGGACGTGGTCAGGGATCCCCAGGGCAGCTGAGTAAGCAGGTGGGTGGTCTGAGGTCAGGAGGGGTCAATGCCAGGAGGCTCAGACTTCTGTGGACTCAAGGGCAGAAGGTGGGCTCTGCCTGTGGTCCAGGAGTCCTGGGTAAAGTTCAACCCCATCACATTACTGCAGTCCATGCCTCGAGCATGCAATGCTGAGCCATGTTTGCAGATGAGACACAGCCTCCGGGGGCTTTGGCCAAGCCCATGCTAAATGCATCCTGGAGGAGTCATTCCTGACAAGACATTACTGTAAATCCAAGTAATGTTTTCGGATCATAGTGGGTGCTGTGGGCCAGTGTCATTTCAACATCAGAGGAACTCAAGGGAAAGATGTTTTGCAAAACCAAAATGTCTAACAGTAGGGGATGGCTTTATAAATTATGGCCCATCCATACAGTAGACAATCATGACAATGTTTTAGAAGAATATTTAATGTAAAATACCCATTACATAAATAGGTCAATAAAATAGATCACAGAACAGCGGGTGGGGAAGGGGATATCTGTGTATATTTAAAAATACGGGACTAAGCTGGGTGCGGTGGCTCACGCCTGCAGGCCCAGCGACTCAGAAGACTGAGCAGGAGGATCTCTTGAGCCCATGAGTTCGAGACAACCATGGGCCGCAAAGCAAGAACCCATCTCTACAAAAAATGTTTAAAAATTTTGCCCGGGCTGGGCACAGTGACTCACGCCTGTAATCCCAGCACTTTGGGAGGCTAAGGTGGGCGGATCACTTGAGGTCAGAAGTTCGAGACCATCCTGGCCAACATGGTGAAACCCCATCTCTACTAAAAATACAAAAATTAGCCAGGTATGGTGGCGCACACCTGTAGTCCCAGCTACTCTACTCGGGAGGCTGAGGCAGGAGAATCTGCTTGAATCCAGGAGGCAAAGGTTGCAGTGAGCCGAGATCATGCCACTGCACTCCAGCCTGGGCAACAGAGCAAGACTCTGTCTAAAAAAAAAAAAAAAAAATTAGGCCGGTCACAGTGGCTTATGCCTATGTAATCCCAGCACTAGCACTTTGGGTGGTTGAGGCGGGCAGATCACTTGAGATCAGGAGTTGGAGACTAGCCTGGCCAACACAGTAAAACCCTGTCTCTACTAAAAATACAAAAATTAGCCAGGTGTGGTGGCGTGCGCCTGTAATCCCAGCTACTTGGGAGGCTGAGGCAGGAGAATCCCTTGAACCTGGGAGGCAGAGGTTGCAGTGAGCTGAGATCATGTCACTGCACTCCAGCCTGGGCAACAGGGAGAGACTTGGTCTAAGAAATAATAATAATAATAAATAAATAAATAAATAAAATTAGCCAGGTATGGTGGAGCGTACCTGTTGGGAGGCAGAGCAGGAAGATCACTTTAGCCTGGCAGGTCAAGGCTGTAGTGTGCTATGATGGTGCCTGTGAATAGCCACTGCACTCCAGCCTGGGAAACACAGTGAGGACCCTGTCTTTAAAAAAAAAAAAAAAAAAAAAGGCTGGGCATGGCGGCTCATGCCTGTAATCCCAGCACTTTGGGAGGCCGAGGCGGGCGGGTCACGAGGTCAGAAGATCGAGACCATCCTGGCTAACATGGTGAAACCCCGTCTCTACTAAAAATACAAAAAATTAGCCAGGCTTGGAGGCTGAGGTAGGAGAATGGTGTGAACCTGGGAGGTGGAGCTTGCGGTGAGCAGAGATGGTGCCACTGCACTCCGGTCTGGGTGACAGAGCGAGACTCCGTCTCAAAGAAAAAAAAAAGTGACTGAAGGATGTGATTGTTGTACATAAGAATATATTATAAAATGAATAGTGGTTATCTCTGGAAATGGGACTGGGGGTGACTGTTCCTTTTGCTTCTCTGTCATCTTGCATAGTGAAGATGTTACTTTTTTAATAAGAAAAGTTGGCCGGGCATGGTGGCTCACGCCTGTAATCCCAGCATTTTGGGAGGCTGAGGCGGGTGGATCACCCGAGGTCAGGAGTTCAAGACCAGCCTGGCCAACATGATGAAACTCCGTCTCTACTAAAAATACAAAAAATTAGCCTGGCGTGGTGGCAGGTGCCTTTAATCCCAGCTACTCGGGAGGCTGAGGCAGGAGAATCGCTTGAACCTGGAAGGCGGAGGTTGCAATGAGCCGAGATCGCACCACCACACTCCAGCCTGGGCGACAAGAGCAAAACCCTGTCTTAAAAAAAAAAATTGTTCAGAAGTCATTCTAGATACCGCGGTTCTAACGAACTTTCTCCCTCCTTCATCTTCCAGGCTGTCTCAGAATCTTGATGGGGTGGTCATTGAGCTCCTCTTCCGCCAGAGCAAGATCAGTGAAGTCCTGGGAGGCAGTGGCTACAACTCGGACCGGCTCTGCCTGCCCTACATTCCTCAGCTGACAGGTATGAGTTCTGTGCAGGGATGCCCGGGCCTGCCTCTGTCTTTACTTGGCCAGGTAAGGGCCTGAGCATAAGGGACTTATAGCCCTTTGATTGCCTGTGAGGCACCTTGGATGTCGTGAGAGCTGAAAGACACAGTGGAAATTTATGGTGAGGTCCTCTTGATTGCCCCACCTCTCCTCCTCAGGACAGGGTCCTTGGAAGTACCTGGCCCATGAGATGGCCTGGCCTGAGGATGGGAGAGGTTCCATTGTGCTGGAAAGAGCATATATGGCTATGGAACCAGAGACCCAGTTTGAGACCCCTGTGCAACTTACTGCCTGAAAGATCTTAGACAAGTCCTTTGCATCCCTGAATTTCAGTTTCCTTGACTGTAAAACAGGAATTTAACAATAGCTGCCTGCTGGGTGCAGAGGTTCACACCTGTAATCCCAGCACTTTGGGAGGCTGAGGCGGATGGATTGCCTAAGCTCAAGGGTTCAAGACCAGCCTAGGCAACACGGTGAAACCCCATCTCTACTAAAAATACAAAAGATTAGCTGCATGTGGTGGTGGGTGCCTGTAGTCCCAGCTACTCTGGAGGCTGAAACAGGAGAATTGCTTGAACCCGGGAGGCAAAGATTGCAGTGAGCCAAGATCGCGCCATTGCACTCCAGCCTGGGCGACAGAGCAAGACTCCGTCTAAAAAAAAAACAAAAAAACAAAAACAATAGCTGCCTTAGAGGGCTGGCATGATAAGGTACCTGTATTAATGCAAATGCACTTAGTAAATGCTTCATGAAGAGCTACTGGTGCTCTTAGCAGATCATGCTTACACATAAGGTGAGATATGTATTCTGGTCATAAGCACCTTCTTTGTGTTCTCGTTGACGATTTCAAAATTTTAGCCCCAAAGAACAAAACTGACCACCCTAAGATGGACAGAGAAGGCCCACAGCAATCGGAAGCTTCTATAAACTCCAAGTGTAGCCTGAGTGTGCACTGAGCCTTAGAGGACTGTGGACCAAGCAAAGGCAGAGGGGTAGGGAGGTGGGACTAGCAGCTCAGTCCTGGATCTCTGAGGGCTGGGAACTAAAGCCTCTGGGCTGCTTCTTCCCCAGATGAGGATCGTTTATCCAAGAGGAGGAGCATTGGAGAGACCATCTCCCTGCAGGTGGAGGTAGAATCGAGGAACAGTCCGGAGAAGGAGGAGGTGAGTGTCCGTGCCACCGTCCTGGGGCAGCCCCACCTCCTGTAGATTGGACGCTGGACTCCAGGCTCCCCTGCCTGCATAGTGGGCTTAAGGCTGCATGGAAAGCAAGTTTCTCGAGTAATTCCACACTTGTACTGACTCTCCCCACGTATGCGTCATAGATACTTCCCTTCGGAAAAATTGTTAGGGTCCTCCCTGCTCCCATGAGGATATCATAAAACTCACTCTTGAAAGGCCTGGCTGGGGATGGTGGCTCACACCTGTGATCCCAACATTTTGGAGGCTGAGGCAGGAGGACTGCTTGAGCCCAGGAGTTTGAGATGATCTGGGGCAATATAAGGAGACCCCATCTCTACAAAAAATAATTGAAAAATCAGCCAGGCATGGTGACGTGCACCTGTGGTCCCAGGTACTCAGGATGCTGAGGTGGGAGAATCACCTGAGCCTGGGAGGTCAAGGCTGCTGTAAGCCATGATGGCAGCACGGCACTTCAGCCTAGGTGACAGAGTGAGACCTCGTCTCAAAAAATTAAAAAGAAAGGCATGCTGGTCATCATTCCCCACTCACAGGGGGACCGATATGCTCTGGGTTGGAAACTAGAAGACTTAACTGGAGAGATAAGGGTGAGAACAGCTTTCATAGTGTTGCTTCCGTATGTATCAATAAAGAATCTTTTTTTAAATTTACACTATTTTTAAAGCAATTTTAGTTACAGCAAAATTGAGAGGAAGGTACAGAGATCGCCCTTTGCCCCCTCCCCTCCCCTGACACATGCACAGCCTCCCCTCCTATCCATATCCCCCAGCAGAGTGGTGCATTTCTTACAGTTCAACCTGCCTTAACACAACAGTATCATCTGAAGTCTGTCGTTTACACTGGGGTTCGCCCTCAGCGTTGTACATTCTGTGGGTTTGGACAAATGCGTAATGACATGCATCCCCCACCAGAGTACCATACAGAGTCATTTCCTGCCCTAAAACCCCCTGTGCTCCACCTCTTCATCTCTCCCCTAACCACTGACAGCCAAGATGTTTTTTTTTTTTTTTTTTTTAATGCTGACTGTTACAGTTCACAAGAAGTACGGAGGACACACATCTGGGTGGGACCGGGACAGAAAGACTTACATGGTCCTCAGGCATGGACAGGCTGGCATTCCCCAGCCTCTCTGCCCATTAGGGCTGATATAGACATGGAGGACAGCTTTGACATCAAGCCTTTCCCCAGATGCAATCAGAGGTAGGAGAAGTCTCTAGGGGTCAGGATCAAGCCTCCCCCTAACTGTGCCCTCGACCACTTCATTTATTGGGGCAGATCTCTACCCCAGGGCCCTCAAAGCTTATCCAGAACCTTCCCACGGAAGGAAGCTCTGACTTGGGCTAATTGGACAAGTAAAATGAGGTTGAACGAGGCATCCTCCATGGCCCTTCCAGCTCCAAGGACTGGGAACCTCCAATGCGTTAGGCATCGGGGTGAGTTGGCTGCTCTCTCCCCATAGTGGCGATTCTCCCTTCCCAAGAGGTAAGAGACCCTCGGGAATTGAGGAGTGAAGTGACTCAGAAGCGCAAGGCGAAATGCTTACACAGCTACAGAGCCACCTCCTCACTAGTGGCCTCCTGGGCCACCAGTATCAGTTCCTTCCTCCCTTCAAGAGTCAGCTTAGCCCAGAGGTAGCTTGGTGGCAAAGCAGGGGTGCAGGGGCCTTCATCCTGTGCCCTTCTGCCATGCCACAACTCTCTCCACTCTCAGCCATCAGTGCCAGTCCAGAGTCCCACGGTGGTTCCTAGGGCCGTACTGCCCAGCCTTGCCGCAGGGGTGAATAAATGCTTGTTTGGTCAAATCTGAATCCTGGTGCCTGGCATTCCCAGCCATGCATAGTCTGGGCTCTGCCATTTCATTTTTCCCCACCTGCTCTGGCCCGTATCCACTGTCCCACTCTGGTGGGGCTGCTCTCGATCTCTCCCACGCTGCGCTCCGCCATCTCCAGGCCTTTGCTAGTGCAGAATGCCACATCTGAACCACCCTTCCCTCCACACTGGTGCAGCTGAGCGCCTGTGAACTGTCTGTTCTCCAGCGCCCGGCCCCTGTTCAGTTTCCTCATAAACTTCTCTCTCCCTGCTCTTGCCCAGGGAGCATCCCTTCTCTCTTGCCCAGAGAGCGGCATTTTCTTTGACTGTTGCCACCACACAGTTCCCTAGCACCCTGCAGGTGAATATCCAATGTTGCTCGGTGCTGACAGTGGATGAATGGATGGACGTACAGAGGATAAGTCCTCAGAGCGAGTTAAAGCCGAGCATAGCTCTCTCTTGCATGTAATTCCTATGCTAGCAAATTGTGCAGTTTCTATAGACTCACCTACAGTCCTGCATGTAGTTGGTGCTCACTTAATGTTTGTTAAATGACTTTATCTCATACATATACTTCTGTCCTCTCCTACTCAAACAAAAATGCCAAACAAATCAAAAAATGCACGACTCAGTGAATTTTCATAAAGTGTGTATGCCCACGCAACCACGCCTGGATGAGAGAGTGGAACACTGTCATCATCCAGGGGCCCTGCCTCTGTGCCCCCTCCCCTAAGGGAGCTCCCAGCCTGAGTTGCGTTACTTCTGGAACTTTATATCAATGAAATCATTCTGTTCTGTGTCTGCTGCTTTTGCTTAAGATTATGTTTAAATGATAGAGCATGAGGCTGGGCGTGGTGGCTCATGCCTGTAATCTCAGCACTTTGGGAGGCCAAGGCAGGTGGATCACCTGAGGTTAGGAGTTCAAGACCAGCCTGATCAACATGGTGAAACCCCGTCTTTACTAAAACTACAAAAAATTAGCCGGGCATGGTGGCGGCCACCTGTAACTCAGCTACTGGGGAGGCTGAGGCAGGAGAATCACTGGAAACCAACCAGGAGGTGGAGGTTGTAGTGAGCTGAGATCATACCATAGTACTCTAGCCTGGGTGATGAGAGCGAAACTCCATCTCAAAAAAAAAAAAAAAAAAAAAAGAAGAGCATGAGTAAATCGTAGGTCTAATAGCTCTTTGTCTAGTGAGTAAGTTCTGGAATTTAGTCCAAATTCCTTCATTATTTTCAGCATCTATGGATCTCCCTTCTTTGAGTTTTATTATTTTCTACTTCCTTTTATAGGCTCTGCAGAGGACTGAGTGGGGTAACTCCTTGGAACCTCAGCAGCCGGGGAGGGCCGGTCACTTCTTTTTTTAAAAAAAAAAAAAACAGAGTCTCCCTCTGTCGCCCAGGCTGGAGTGCAGTGGTGTGATCTTGGCTCACTGCAATCTCCACCTCCCGGTTTCAAGCAATTCTCTTGCCTCAGACTCCCCAAGTAGCTGGGATTACCGGCACGCGCCACCATGCCTGGCTAGTTTTTGCATTTTTAGTAGAGATGGGGTTTCACCACGTTGACCAGGCCGGTCTCGAACTCCTGACCTCAAGTGATCCGCCCGCCTCAGCCTCCCAAAGTGCTGTGATTCCAAGCATGAGCCACCGCATCCGGCCTGTCACTTCTAACCTTCCATTTCTTATCTTTATTAAATGCTCAAGTCGCATTGGTGGGTAATTTAATACTTTAAGACTTCAGAACTGGCCGGGCGCGGTGGCTCACGCCTGTAATCCCAGCACTTTGGGAGGCCAAGGCAGGCGGATCACGAGGTCAGGAGATCGAGACCATCCCGGCTAAAACGGTGAAACCCCGTCTCTACTAAAAATACAAAAAATTAGCCGGGCGTAGTGGTGGGCGCCTGTAGTCCCAGCTACTTGGGAGGCTGAGGCAGGAGAATGGCGTGAACCCGGGAGGCGGAGCTTGCAGTGAGCTGAGATCCCGCCACTGCACTCCAGCCTGGGTGACAGAGCGAGACTCCGTCTCAAAAAAAAAAAAAAAAAAAAAAAAAAGACTTCAGAACTGATATTCAGTTCCTGAAATTTACATCTGAGATTCTATTCACCACCTCTCTTCCCTTGCTTCCAATGTTTTCTGTTGTGTTCTCTGAAGATGTTTTAAAATTGCAGTATTGGCTGGGCACAGTGGCTCACACCTATAATCCCAGCACTTTGGGAGGCCGAGGCGGGCAGATCATGAGTTCAGGAGTTCGGGACCAGCCTGACCAACATGGTGAAACCCGTCTCTACTAAAAATATAAAAATTAGCCAGGCATGGTGGTGCACGCCTATAATCCCAGCTACTTGGGAGGCTGAGGCAGAAGAATCACTTGAACCCAGGAGGCAGAGGTTGCAGTGAGCCAAGATCATGCCACTACACTCCAGCCTGGGCGACAGAGTAAGACTCTGTCTCAAAATAAAATAACATGAAATAAAATTGCAGTGTTTTCCTCCCATGGTGCTTGATGGACAGGCTTGGGGAGGGAGCAGGGGACAGTGTGTTCTTTTATGTGAGATTCAGGACTCTGTCTAAGTCTGAATCTGATGAGGAATGAGCTTCCCCGCTGCATCTCGCTGTCCTCTGTGCCTGCTCAGGGAGCTTCTGAGACCCTGAGGGGGGTGGGGGTGTCCTGAGGGACTTCCTGCCCACTGGGACTTTCTTCCAACAAGCAAGGGGCTGCCAGAGAGCTGGGGGTGCCAGGGCTGCCTCCTTTCTCTGCCCCCTGCCTTTCTGAGCATCTCTGTCCCTTCTCCTTCAGCGAGTGCCTGCCGAGGAGATCACCTATGAGACACTGAAGAAAGCCATTGGTAAGTCAGGGCAAAGGGACTCTGGTTAGAGGGCAAAATGGGGTGGGGTCCTTGGGCCTGTTCCTGCAGATGCAGCAGGACACACCACCCTCCGCAGTGGGATCCAGCACCTGCGTGAAGGGAGAGGCTGGTGTCTTTTGACAAACTCATCACAGCCACCAAAGCTGCCACTGAATATCCCTGCTCTCCTGATGGGGGTCAGTAGTGAGGCCCTGTGTGGCCCACAGTGGGCAACGCTTTTGCCAGTAAAGACAGCTGCCTTTAAAAGTAATCAGTTGGCCAGGCATGGTGGCTCACGCCTGTAATCCCAGCACTTTGGGAGGCTGAGGTGGGTGGATCTCAAGGTCAGGAGTTGGAGACCAGCCTGACCAATGTGGTGAAACCCTGTCTCAACTGAAAAAATACAAAAATTAGCCAGGCATGGTGGCATGCCTGTAATCACAGCTACTTGGGAGGCTGAGGCAGGAGAATTGCTTGAACCTAGGAGGCGGAGGTTGCAGTGAGCTGAGATTGCACCACTGCACTCCAGCCTGGGTGACAGAGCAAGACTCCCATCTCAAAAAAAAAAAAAAAAAAAGGCAATCAGTTGATGGCTATAGGTAGAAAGCAATTCGGGATAAATTTTTGGTTTATTTGGTGAAGTGTGATACAAAAGAACAAGCTGGCCAATGGAAGATATTAATAACGAATCATATGAATGTCTATTTAATAAGGGCAGATGATTTTAAAATGCATGTTACCTCTCTATCTGGATCATTGGACAACAACAGATTTTTCTAACTGTTGACAGATTATGCCTGTAAATGCCAAACTTTTAAATTTTTGTCATCATTAATGATAGTCTCTCTGAATGTACACATTTCTTGCCCTTTTTTTTTTTTTTTCTGAGACAGAGTCTCGCCCTGTCACCCAGGCTAGAGTGCAGTGGCACCATCTTGGCTCACTACAACCTCTGCCTCCCAGGTTCAAGCAATTCTCCTGCCTCAGCCTCCCGCGTGACTGGGATTACAGGTGCCCGCCACCACACCCGGCTAATTTTTGTATTTTTAGTAGAGACAGGGTTTCACCATGTTGGCCAGGCTGGTCTCGAACTCCTGACCTTAGGCAGTCAGCCCTCCTCAGCCTCCCAAAGTGCTGGGCTTACAGGCATAACCCACTGCACCTGGCTATTTCTTGCCTTCTTAAACTGAGTATGGGCCAGGCATGGTGGCTCACACCTGTAATCCCAGCACTTTGGGAGGCCAAGGTGGCAGGATCCCTTGAGCCCAGAAGTTTGAGACCAGCCTGGGCAACATAGTGAGACCTCATCTCTATTAAAAAAAAAAAAAAAAACTCAACAGTATTATGGACATGTGCGACACACACCCCTTTTTCTTCTTGGTGCTAACTCATCTTGGATACCAAGCAGCATGTGTAGAAGCCTTAAACTAAATGGCCTCGGGCTGCCCTGCCACACGTGTTTCATGTTGGCTTTTGTGGTCTGTGTGGCTTTACCATTGTCAATGTCCCTCTTCTTTTTTTGTTTATTTTTGAGATGGAGTCTCGCTCTGTCACCCAGGCTAGAGTGCAATGGCGTGATCTTGGCTCACTGCAACCTCCACCTCCCTGGTTCAAGCAATCCTCCTGCCTCAGCCTCCCAAGTAACTGAGACTACAGGCATATGCCACCACGCCTGGCTAATTTTTGTATTTTTAGTAGAGAGGGGGTTTCACCATGATGGCCAGGCTGGTCTCAAACTCCTGACCTCAAGATGTCCTCCTGCCTCGGCCTCCCAAAATGCTGGGATTACAAGTGTGAGCCACCGTGCCCAGCCTCAATGTCCCTTTTCAAAATACCCACAGAGTACTCAAAGGACCAACTGTTCAGGACCTTCAATTTAAGAGTCCCGGTGGGAGAGCAGCTACTTGGGGCTGTAAGAGCCCCGCTGAAAGGGCCTCCCACATAGTTCTCAAATTCTTACATGAGGAAGAAGGCTGAGCCCTCAGGCAGAATCAGGAAGAGGTCCCACCTTCCAGGGCCAAGTGAGGGCACCGCACCTCCACGCCACTGTCCCCTACTCTTCAGAAGAGGGGAGAGCCCAAGCAATGCTCATGGACAGTGCTCCCTGGAGGAGTCCCTCCCTTCACCTCAGTGAGCAGGGCCTGGCACTAACCCAGCTCTCTGTGTCGAAGTGGACAGCGTAGCAGTGGAGGAGCAGGAGCGTGAGCGGCGGCGGCAGGTGGTGGAGAAGTTCCAGAAGGCACCCTTCGAGGAGATTGCTGCACACTGCGGGGCCCGGGTAAGTGAAGCATGACATGGGCGAGTCCCTGGGAGCCAAGTCAAGACTGAATTTGGGTCCAGGACAGGATTAAGTTCCTAGGAGATCTTGGCTCTTTGACCACCAACCTCCCCCACCCCCACCCTGCCAGACATCAGGGCTTGTATTCCAATGCAGGGAGCTCCGCTGTTGCCCTGCCAGGCTTTCCCCAACACCCTGGCGCTGCACTGCTCCCCTATGAACCAAAAGACTTGGGTGTTTGTCTTGGGTCTCTCTGAGACCTCACACTTCTCACATAAGGAAGAAGTCCTGAGCTGAGGCACCTGTCTGGCAGTCAGATCATGCTCACTGTGGTCCTGACAGCAGGCACGTGAACAGCACTCACTGCGGATGACAGCTTCTTCTATTGATGAGCCGCTTTCATTCTCATGATAACTCCATGAAGTTGGTGCCATTATGATCCCCATGTTACAGAGTGATGGGGGAGGGGTGTGTGGCAAAGGAAGATGGTCAACGTTGGCAGCAGGACCCTCTTCCAACCAGGGTACCTTGGCAGGGGGATGGAACAGCCAGGCCTTGGCAAAGAGATCAGAGAGAGAGGCAGCTGGACATGTAGAAATGAGGAGCCATGCCTAGACTGGAGGGAGGAGCTCAGACAATCTTGAAATTGATTCTATGCCGGGATTTATTAGCCCCGAATGTCAAGCTTAGTAACAATGAAACATAACTGTAAACATTCAAAATCTACAAATAACCTATTCTCCTAACAAAATATAATATGTATAAATATTTTATATATAATATTCATATAGAAGTGTGTGTGTGTGTGTGTGTGTGTGTGTGTATATAAAACACATATAGATTTTCCTGGGCCTGTATTGTTCTAACCTCTCATCCCACTTTGAGAGGGATGCCCATGTTATGAGCTAGGAATCAGGGCCCAGTCACGGAACACGTGCAGTCCCACTCTCTGCATTCATTAACCTCATTAGAGCCAGAAGTAATCAGAGATCATCTCTAAGCCACCAGTTTTGCACAGCTGCTCCTTGCAAGTTAGAAAAGAGCTGGCACAGGCTGGGCACAGTGGCTCATGCCTGTACTCCCAGCACTTTGGGAGGCTGAGGCAGGCAGATCACCTGAGGTCAGGAGTTCGAGACCAGCCTGGCCAACATAGCAAAACTCCATCTCTACTAAAAATACAAAAATTAGCCGGGCATGGTGGCAGGCACCTGTAATCCCAGCTACTCAGGAGGCTGAGTTGGGAGACTTACTTGAACCCAGGAGGTAGAGGTTGCAGTGAGCTGAGGTCATGCCACCGCACTCCAGCCTGGGTAACAGAGCAAGACTCCTTCTCAATTAAAAAAAAGAAAAGAAAAGAGCCGGCACTAGTGCAGTCTCCCGACTCCATGCCCAGCAGCCCCTACTGCCCCATCTTAAGGAAAAGGACCTTCCAGAACTGCCTGCTGACGTCCTCCCTGGTGATTCTGAGCCTCTGTCCTGTCCCCAGCCAGCCTTCAGTAGGTGGCTTTCCCTGATCCGAATCTGCAGTCAGGGTCCAGTGGATGAGTGCTGGAGCGTGTTCACCTCTGCCTGCCTTCCTAAGGCTGTGGCTGCCCTGTACCTCCAGCGTATACTCTGGACACCCTGAGCCAGCTGGCAGAGGTTCTGGACCCCCCACCCCTGCCAGCTCACTTCCGTGTGTTTGTGTCTAGGCATCGCTGCTCCAGAGCAAACTCAATCAGATCTTTGAAATCACCATCCGGTAAGTGACAACCCTGGGCAGGGGACCCTGACCTCCGTGGCCCAGTATTGGGGTTCCTCATCCTGAGTCCTCTCACCCCTGTCTTCTCTTCTCTCCTCCCCACCTCCTTCTACCACTGTAATCTCTATCCCCTGGGCTGGAGTCAGCCACCAACTCTAACCCTCCCTAGACAAGGAAATAGAGACCAGAGAGGGAAAGAGCCTGCCTCAATGAAACCTGGAAAGACGCAAGAGTCCTAGTGTTCCGGGCTGGCACTTTCTAAAGCAGCAGTGTCACTGCGGAGCCTGCAGGGAAGCTTGACTCCAAGCTGTAGATTCTAGTAGAACGTGGAATCCTGGGAACCTGTGGAATGAAGGGGTCTCTGGTGCCTGTGCAAAAAGAAACCCAAGTCACCTACTCTGTTTGGTTGCACAAGGGTGGGATCCTAAAATTCTCTTTTCATGCCTTTCTCCCCATGTGTTCCTGCCCCCTAGGCCCCCACCAAGCCCATCAGGAACCATCACTGCAGCCTACGGTCAGCCGCAGAACCACTCCATCCCCGTCTATGAAATGAAGTTTCCCGATCTGTGTGTATACTGAATTCCAAGAGCCTGAGCTCCTCAAGGAGATGGGGTCTGAGGAGGGGCTCACCTCACGCCCACCCCGACCACATGGAGATCTGGCTGTGATCTCTGAGAAAACATCACCTTAGATGGCAGCGCCTCCCAGGCTAAGCCAAGGTGGAGACTCTCTGGTCCTTCTTGGCCCTCCTACCTCCTCCTCGTCTTCCCTGAGGGAGGTCTCACCAATCAGCATCTCACCTGTGCCCTCTTTGTCTTCTCTTGTGTCAGCCAGGGGCAGAGAATCATGGGGTGTCTCTCAGGAGAAGCCGGGGGGAGGGGGCTGAGAAGCTCCTACTTGGTGTTTTGAGTGAAGGGCATGTCCTCCCCAGAGGACGGAGCTGGATGGAGACTTGGTTGGTGAGAGGAAGCTAAGGACTCTACTCCCCTGGGGAAGGAAGCTGAGATGGGGATGGCTCTCTCCTCCCCAGCACTCCCCCTGCTCCCCGCCCATGTCCCTGCTGTGTCTCTCACTCTCTTGCTCATCTCCCAGTTGTCTGTTCATGTTTCTTTCTACTATTAATGAATGCTGAGCCCTTATAACAGGAGCTGGGGTGGAGACATCACGAGGGGTCGGGGGACAGCAAAGGGCAGGAAGCAGGATGCAGGGCTGGCAGGAGGTGGGCCTGTGGCATCAGCAGGCCCAGCGGGCGAGTGTGGTCCCTGCAGCAGCTTCCCACCTCCTTTGTTCATAAGGAGCTTGTGTTGGCCTCCCACAGTCCTGTCTGCTGGACGTTTTTCAGAGTTGGGTTCTCTCTCTTTGATGTCTTTCTTCTGAGGGTCCCAAGGTGTTCCTGGAGCTTCTGGGTTGAGGAAAGGCAGAGCAAGATAATCTTGGAGGGGAACTACAGGGTCCCCAAGATTTGCCCACATCACCTCCTATGGAAAAGGCTCCCAGCCTGACCTGGGTTGTAGGAGAGTGGGGAGGGTGGGATGAGTGGTGTTTTGGGGCTCAAGGATATCAGAAGCCAACTTTTTGGATGTTCCGTTTGAAGAAAGAAGGATCTAACACCTAATATTGGAATGATTTCTTCACTCTCTGGACAAAGTCTGGGACATCAGCACCACCTGGCAACGCTTGTGGCTTGGGAGGAGCCATGGAGACCCCTTTGGGTTCTGGGTTCCTGTTTTCCTGGTGTGCCGTCTGTGTCTCTGTGTAATGAGGATGTGCAGAGAGGAGCTAACGCGGAGCCGGGCAGAGCCACCCAGGAGGCAGTTTGTTGCCTTCTTTGCCAATTCCCCTTCCCGGCCCCTCCTCCAGGTGCCTTTGTGTCTCCCGGGGTGCCACTGACAGAACCTCACCTGGGGCTCCTCCCATGGCAGTGCCATGTGGTCCAAAATTGCCCTTTCCTTCTCCGTTAGTCACATTTCCCATAACTCCTCCGAGCCAACATAACCTACAGTAAGATGTGAGTGTCAGACGTTCTCTCCCTGGAGTCTGCTTTCCAAAGGAGGCAGGGTGAGTAGATTTCTTGATCCAAAGGAATCCGTTTTTAATTTTTTTTTTTTTCTAGAGATGGGGGTCTCACTATGTTGCCCAGGCTGGCCTCGAACTCCTGAGTTTAAGTGATTCTCCCACCTCAGCCTCCTGAGTAGCTGAGAATCCCTTTTTAGGGTACAATTTCAGGCAGTGTGGCATGGAGTCAGAAGCAGGCTGTTTCTCCTCAGGGGAGGGCAGGCTTCTCAGGACGGCCTCAGCTCATAGCCCCACGTGTGGTGTGCACGGATGTGCAGGGAGAGCCTGATTGTTAGGTGGATGTATTTTCCAGAATCGGGGAGGGACTGAACACGAGCATTTCCCATTAATATGTGCAATAAATGTCTTGGGGAAGGGGCTATTTGACCCTCATTCCCATAGTTTTGGCACTTCAAATGAAGCTCTTCCTTGTGGTCACCATCTCTGCTGTGGGCACACAGCTTCTTTTTCTTGTTTTTTTTTTTTTTTTTTTTTTTTTGAGACACCGTCTCGCTCTGTCACCCAGGCTGGAGTACAATGGTGTGACCTCAACTCACTGTGACTTCCGCCTCCTGGGTTCAAGTGATTCTCCTGCCTCAGCCTCCTGAGTAGCTGGGATTACAGGCGTGCACCACCACGCCTGGCGAATTTTGTGTTTTTAGTAGACATGAGGTTTCACCGTGTTGGCCAGGCTGGTCTGGAACTCCTGATCTCAAGTGATCCGCCCGCCTCAGCCTCTCAAAGTGCTGGGATTACAGGCGTGAGCCACTGCGCCTGCTTGGCACGTGGCTTCTGAATGGCCTGAGTGAGGGCAGGGCCCAGGCATGGAGGCTCCTGCACCCCCAAGGCTTTTTGGCTGTGCTTTATGGCCTCTGGCTTATACTCAACCCAATTTTACAAGCATGAACTTAGACTTCTCTTTAGTATTTATATATTTAAAAACCAAGTTTAAATTAACTCAAACTTGACAGCAACTAACCTCTGAAAGAAACTTTAAAGAAAATTGAAATCTTGAGCCACAAACATGTTCTTTCCTCACTAGCTCCTCCCAGGTTTTATCCTGCACCCAGCTTGGATGAGAGACCCACTGTTTCTTGTGCCTACTTAACATTAGGGTTCCCCGTGGCAGCTTCATCCTGAGCACTGCCTGTGAGCCCTGGTTCTGGGACTTGGCAGTCGCCTCCCTGGAGCATCTTTCCAGAGCCAGCATTAGAACCTGAGATCCCCAGATGTTTCTGCCCCTCATCCCCATCCTGTGAATAGAGAGACAGAAAAGGTGCAGGTTCCCATTCTGCATAGATTCTGCTGTTTCCTCTCCACCGGTCCCAGGCAGCTTTTCCTTTCCATCACTGCCGCTTAGCAAAAATGTGCTTCTTTTGAAGAACTGGTCATTTTTTTTGAGTGCCCTCTTCTCAGTTTTGTTTAAACTTACACTCAGTAGAGTGTTGGGTTGTCTGCTGACATGGAGTAGAACCTGGATTCTGGCCAAATAGGCCAGAATCGGAAAGGTGAAGGTGAGTGTGATAGTAGGTAATCTCCTCACCCCAGCACAGGCCCTGGGAGAGAGGCAAAGCAGTTTGATGGGATCTGGAGGGGAGGGAGGTACCCTGGCCCTTGGTCTAGCATCAGTGAGTCCTGCCCTTCCAAGCCCCTGGAGGCTAGTGGCATTGCATTGTGCCCCTTTTTGCCACCCTTCTCTGATGTGATTTTGAGCGAAGAGGAGTCAGTAAGCCCATTGAGACCGGCTGCTCCCAAAGCCCGAGGACTCTAGCTGTGTGGGGAAGGGCTAGCATTGGTCAGGACTCTGCTGACAGCACTGAGTAGGCAGGAATGTATTTGAGATTTGGAAGTACTGTTAATTTGGTGGAGTCAGGTGAATGGATAAGAGGCAGATCGGCAGAAAGCATCAGTGTGGTCCCGAGGCTCCCTCTGTTTTCCTTGCCATGGAGTCCCCAGCGCCTTGTGCCTGTTTCCATTTCCCTCTCTCTTTGAAAAGTAGAAATCAGTGGTTTCTTGACTCCTAAACAGCCTCCTCACTATAGAAGGAGCCTGAGCAGGTCAGAAGAACTAGAAAAGTCCTCAGATACCCCCCTCTGTCCAGCCCCCTTTCCCATACACAGATATCAATGGATGAGCAGGAAAAGAGGAGGCCTGGACTCACTGAAGTACTTGAAGAAGCACAAGTGTCATAGATGTGCCGCCCTTTGCCCTGGGTGTTCTAGATCACACAGAACACGTTTCAGCTGGACTAAGAATCAGACTAGCCAGGGGTTCTTCTGAACAGCTCAGGCCAGACCTCTGGGCTCCTCTGGGGGCCCTGGGACATGATGCCTTGCAGTTTCCATTCCATTGTCCCCAGGCCTCCTGACCTGGTGACAGAGAGTGCCCTGCAGAAGTGAGTCTATTTTTCCCAATTCCTCTTCATGACCAGAAAATGGCAGCTGGCCGGTTGGGGTCCTGTGGGAAAGGGCTAACCTGGGCTGTTAGGTAGACACTAGGTTTAAAGGTAGACAGGGAGATGGCATCATCAGGGCAGGCCAGGCCCACTTCCTGTGACCCCAGACCTTGGCAGGCGGGTCGTGCTGAAACCAGGCATCTCCCTCACACCTGGGGAAAGGTTTAGGGCAACATGTTGCCTCTTCATCCCATTAACCCTAGAAATCTTCTGGTTAGAGTGGCCCCTTACCCCAAATCTGGCCTAGGTCTGAAGACTGCAGGATAGTCATGATGGGCCCATCCTAGAGCCTGGCTAGCTGGAAGACGCGGTATGGCAGGGACAGGAGGGCGGCAGGAAGGGCTTTGTGGCCCTGCTGGGGCCAAAGGCAGTTTTCTGTGCTCCCTTTAGCCCCAGCCTGGCTGGCCAGGTCTCCTGTACTTCAGGGGACCATGGGGCCGCCCAAGCCAGTCACCTTCCCCTTCCAAGCTCTCCCCCCATGACTGTTGATTTCTGGCGCGTGGAGGCAGAGTTGTGAATCCACAAATGCTGTAGCCCATATCTCGTAATGTGTCTGTGTCCACTTAGAGCCTCACGACCTGGCTGTGTGTGTGCATGTGTGTGTAGTATAGTTTGTAGTTGACAATATGTGTATATAATAGCTGGTGTATTTATATGTGAGTGCAGAATTAGTGCCCGTGGCGGTTTTCTGTATTTTAAACCCATTGAATTGGTTAGTTTTATTTTAGGGAAGTGGGAAAGGCGGAGTGGGGGGAAGTATAGGAAGAAGGATTCTTAGCAAAATCATTCTCTAGGACTATTAGTCGCGATCTCCCAGTGAGCCATCACGATGCCCTTTTCAAATAAATGTTAATGTTGTCACCACATGGCTGTCTGTTTGATTTCTTTAAAGTAAATGGTTTTTTTGAGAAGCAAACGGGATCTGAAAATACCAACAGTATACCACTGACATTTAGCCACCTCCACCAACCATGACTTTACCTGTCTCAGAGGGAGAAGGTGTGGGGGAAAGGAGGCTACCAAGATGGAAACCTCAGGCCCAGCATGCCCAGCATGGGAGCATCCTCAGGAAGGCCTAGGCCATTATTCATTCTAGCACATTCCATGTAAGCCATACTGGGGAACACCTTGTCTTAAGAATCTGGCTTTCTGGCCAGGCGCAGTGGCTCAAGCCTGTAACCCCAGCACTTTGGGAGGCCAAGGTGGGCAGATCACCTGGGGTCAGGAGTTCAAGACCAGCCTGGCCAACTTGGTGAAACCCCATCTCTACTAAAAATACAAAAGTTAGCCGGGCGTGGTGGCGCACTCTTGTAATCCCAGCTATTTGGAAGGTTGAGGCAGGAGAATTGCTTGAACCCAGGAGGCGGAGGTTGAAGTGAGATGAGATCACACCATTGCACTCCAGCCTGGGTGACAGAGCGAGATTCCATCTCAAAAACAACAACAATGACAACAAAATGGCAGGGGAAGGTGGGGGGTTCCAGGCAGAGGGTATAGGAGGATGCGAGACCTGTGAGGAGACCAACGAGTGTGAGGCAGCGCCTTCATCCGGGGAAACTTGGGAAGCAGGGTTTGGTAAGGAGAGAGTGCCCGTCTACAAGGGCCCTGCCCACCATGCTTAGTAGTTTGGAATTGACAGAAATTGGGGTGGGGGCACTGTTTTGACTCTTGAGCCTGGGACTGTGGGAAAAAGCAAGATTTTGTGTAAACTAACGTGAAGAATTCGTATATGATGGGCTGGGGAGAGCAGCTGGAAACTAGGAGACCAGTTGGTTGGGAAGCTGTTATCAGAGAGGCCTGGGGGAAGTACTAAGGATGAGAAGGGCTGGAGCTGAAACACGCGGGGAGGGAGGAGCCTGGGCACGGCAGGAGGGGTCAGAGGGCCTGAGTCAGGGCTTAAGCCCTAGGGGCTGGAAGAAGCAACTGCGTAGAGTATGTTGTATTAAACAGATGTGTGTCTCCATGAGTGTGTGTGTGTGAGAGAGACCGTATGTCTGAGCGTATCTGTGAGTAGCCTGGGAGTGAAATTGGAACTGATACTAACCCTCAGCTCTCACACTTAGCTTCTATGATAAAAAGAAGATTATGTCCATTTTCTCCTTTAATCTTCACAATAACCCTCATACTGGGAAGGGAGGGGTAGATGAAAGAACTAAATTTTGGAGAAGTTCAGAGACTTGCCTAAGGTCCCATGGATTGCTACGAGCAGTTCCCCGGAGACATTACCAAGACTTCTCACCTGACAGTCCAGAGCACTCCCAGGCGTGGGTAGGCCTCAACCTGTCCAACTGGCTTTTGGAGGTGGACCGGAGCCGGGGAGCCCCTGAGCGCCCGGGGTCACTCTTGCAGGAATCCTGCCTTTACACGTGTGCTAGCTGAGCAGTCTCCCACTCAGTGGAGTGTGTGGAAAATACGGCCATCCTAGAGGTGCTGGAGCCACCCTGTGCCTTCACCCAAACTATCTGATCCCTCGAAGATCCATTTGGGGGTGGGGGCAGGAAGCACATTTTCCTTTCACGCTCACTAAGTCCTGTGAAATATCCTACCGCATGGAAACCACTGTGCTCCTCCGATCCATGCTGCTGTTATTTGACGGCTACGTATTTTTACTTTATTCACACAGTTTACATTCAAAGTCAGAGGTGGATGTGAAATTTGAAAGGTTTTATTTCCTAACTACAGGCAGCTTTAAGAGGCTGATTATCTGCCACGACCCCCCAGGCTGGGAGGCGGCAGCAGGGCAGGGGAGAGCAAGGGGCTTTGGGGTCGACCTCCTGGGGGAGGGTAGCCCTGGGGCCCCGCTGTGCCCTCACTCGCCCTTCTTGTAGGCGTTCTTGATGATGGCGTTTTTGAACAGCGTCACCAGGGGCGTCTGGCTCTTCTCGGAGGTCATGAAACCGCCGTAGCGCTTGTCCTTGGGCGGGCTGCCCCAGCGGAAGTGCTCCATCCTGTAGGGGCCCTCGTCCTTCTTCTCGGCCGCCACCAGCAGGCTGTGCTCCAGGTCGGCCTGGGCCCCTGCGCCGTCATCGGCAGGGCCGTCGGGGCCATCTCCCTCCCGGAGTCGCTGGCCAGTCAGCTCCCTCTTGAACTCCAGGGGGAAGGCCTCGGCCGACTCGTCCTCGGCGCCGTTAGGGTACACCTTCACTGGGCGCCGCTTCTTGCCCACCGGCTTGCCCCAGCGGAAGTGCTCCATGGAGTAGGAGCGCTTGCCCTCGCGCGGGCCCGGCTTGGCACCATCGCTGCGGGGCTCGGGGCCGCCCTCAGGCAGCGGGCCGCAGTCTTCGCCCGCTGAGACGTCCTCGCGCTTCTGCCCTGCGCCGCTGCTGCCGCTGCTGCTGCTGTTGCGGCGGCCGAATCGGTCCCAGCGGAAGTGGCCCATGACGTACTTCCGGGGGTTCTCGGTCAGAGGCTGCTCGTCGCCATTTCCCGGGAACATGGGAGTCTCGGCCGAGAGGTCGGGCTTGCAGGCCCGGATGCACTCCTGGGGGAAGACGCGAGGGCATGAGGGCAGCCCGTGCCCCGCACCCCGGCCCGGCTGCCGCGCCCGTCACTGCGCCTAGGCCCTGGCCGCCCTCGCCACGTGCCGAGGACACAGGGCACAGTGTCGGGCGTGTCAAGCGTCGAGGCCTCCCTACAGAGCAGGTCTGCCCACCTGCTTTCTTGGCACTCGTGGGCATCTAAGATCTTGCCACTGCCTCTTTTGTCCCATCCCCTTCATGCTTCTGCCTGGCAACTGCAACACACTTCCCATCCCATTCCATGGTTTGTCTAGCCATCTAGCCACCCCTAGCTTTTGTGAACAGGACCAAAGTCTTACTGTTATATGCCTGACATAAAGGAGTGGCTCCAAGAAAGGCAGACGGGTGGTAGTTGTTGGCACTTAATGAATATTGAGGGCCGGGCACGGTGGCTCACACCTATAATCCCAGCACTTTGGGAGGCCAAGGCAGGCAGATCACATGAGGTCAGGAGTTCAAGACCAGCCTGGCCAACTATGGTGAAATACCATCTCTAGTATAAATAAATAAATAAGCTGGGTGTGGTGGCGGGCGCCTGTAATCCCAGCTACTCTGGAGCCTGAGGCAGGAGAACCGCTTGAACCTGGGAGGTAGAGGTTGCAGTGAGCCAAGATCACACCACTGCACTCCACACTCCAGCCAGGGCAACAGAGCAAGACTCCGTCTCAAAAAAATAAATAAATAAATAAAAAGAATATTGAATAAATACATATGGTTTAATTCAAGTCCAGGAGGGGAGTGGGGCTGAAATTTGGGGGATAATCTCTCCAGGTGATAGAAGTCTGGCTACTAGGGCCCATATTTTTAAACATATTTTTAATAATGCCTCAACCTGTGTGAACCTGGGAGGTGGAGCTTGCAGTGAGGGGAGATCGCGCCACTGCACTCCAGCCTGGGTGATAGAGCGAGACTCCGTCTCAAAAAAATAAATAAATAAACAAAAAATAAAAAATAATGCCTCAACCTTACCTCAGTGATGAAAAACCTACTTTATGCCCTACCCCAGCTCCATCTCTGCACTAAGCCTCCAAAACTGCACCTTGGTTCTTTCACGACTTCTGAGCTGATTTCTGAGAGATCCCCCAGTGAGCTCTGGGGCAAGCTTATTTCCCTGTAATCTCATTCTGACTGGAGGGAGGGGTGGAAAGCTAGCGTTATTTCCATTGCACCGTCTGTGGAACCTGTGTCTCTGCTCCTTGTCCCTAGAGGACTCTATTGTGGTACATATTAGCTTAGGAAAATGGCTGCATAGGCTGCAGCCTTGAGTTTTCAGTGATAAAAAGATGAAAAGCTCACTGGCTGCTCTCTTTCTTGGGAATAGCAAAGGAGAAAATAAAAGGATCCTACCCACTCTGTTGAGCTGGACATTGCCTACTCCAGGTGTTCAGAATTACAACTCTGTGGAACGTTAACAATGGAAAAAACTAATTTACACTCCCCTCCCGTGGACAGATAGTGAAACAGGAGACTCAGAGAGGTGATAGGACCTGGTCAAGGTCCCACACCTCAAAACTGGGTCTAGAACCCATGGGTCCTGACTGTGTCCAGTGCACCCTCCCTGGTGAGCTGTGCTGTGGGTGTCTCAAGTCAAGAGACTCTTGGGTCTTTCCAAACTGGAACTCACAGAATCCCCTGGGCTCTTTGTTTCTATTTTATATTACACATGAAAACTGGTCTGTGTCTTTGAGGACCTCATTCTATCTTCACCTTAACTCAGCTTCTGCATTGACAAAATACACAGAATGTAGTTATGTACATTCCACCCTCAGCACCTGCCAGGTGATGGCAACAAGATTAAAATTCCGGTCACTGACACTAACAGTATGGGGGTTTGTTTGTTTGTTTGTTTCATTTTGTTTTGTTTTGAGACAAGGTCTCATTCTGTTACCCAGACTGGAGTGCAATGGTGTGATCATAGCTTACTGTGTCGTCAGACTCCTGGCCTCAAGTGAACCTCCCAAGTAGCTAGGACTACAGGCACATGCCACCACATCTGGCTAACTTTTTTATTTTTTGTAGAAGTGGAGGTCTCACTATGTTGCCCAGGCTTGTCTTGAATCCCTGGGCTCAAGCAATCCTCCCACCTTAGCATCTAAAAGTGCTGGGATTACAGCCATGAGCCATCTCGCCTGGTCTCAGTGTGCCTTTTAATCTCTGGATTTGGCATCATTACTCATTTATGCCCCCCAACACACACACACACACACCCCCCACAGGCAGATACATACACCCTGTGGTGACCTGGAGGGAGCTCCTGCCTGATGCAAAGGGCCTTCACATGCTCTGGAAAGACTGTAGAGGAACACAGCAGAAGGCCAGTCCTCCAGAATAAACATGAGACATTTGGCACCAATTAAAGAAAAAAAAAAAAGGGCCCCTGGTTTTTCCTTCTTCCAGAGATGATTTGAAGAACTACCTGGCTGGTTTTGCAACCGGTAGTAGATAAAAGGGTAAGAAATATGGAATGAAAATGGCAAGTGATATGAGCTTCTTAAAAAGGAATAGTTTGGGAAGCTAAAGATTTAAAGTACAGAATAGATTGAGGGGTCCATTATTGCTCTTATAGCACCATCTCTAGCTTAAAGGGTTCAAGGTCTCCATAAAAGATGGGGCAAGAAGTAAGGATAACCAAGCAGAAATTGTGGACTCAACCCCTCTCCCTGAAGCTGCTTCCTTCCCTGATTTCTTCTCCCATTTCTTACTTCACTGCAAAGTTTTGCTCCTGCCCTGGATTGAATCACGCCTATCACTGGGAATGAATTTCCCTTTCCCCACACCCTTTTCTTTTGAGCTTTCCCAGCTCCAGTCCCATCTAATGTCTAAGCCAAGATGGCAGTCATGGCCCACGTACCAGCAGGTTGCTTTCCGTGGTGAGGTCCTGACACTGGCTGCTCTCCAGGCACCAGCCACGCACTTCCATGGAGGCCTGAAGCAGCAAGGCCAGCAACAGGGCCCCCGAGCGGCTGCAGCACGATCTCGGCATCTTCCAGGCAGGCTGAGGCTCTGCAGAAGCAAACAAGATTGGTGGGACCCCTGCAAGGAGCAAAACAATGTTGGCCACTCACCAGGAAGGACCTTGAGCCAACATTAACAACACACTCTCTTGTGGAGTTAAAGGCATTTTAAGGACAGCAGCAATGCTGAGAAAGGAGGTGTGCAGTACAGCGGTGGTATAAGTTGTGATAAGGAGGAGGGAATGGTGGGTAAACTGTGACCATTTCCCTGTTATCTTCTATTTAAACGAGACCCCTAAAAAGGTTAAGGCTGGAAGCTATTTTGGGGATTGCTTGGTTCAGCCCTTCCCATGAGAGATGGGAAAATTGAAGCCCAAAGAGAGACAATTACTTTAATGTCCATGACAAGGTAAGGCTAAGCTCCTAACAGAGAACTTTCCTATTTCACTACATTAAGCTGTAGTTCTAACATGCAAGATCTCAGGAGTGAAAGTAACTTGGGAAAAACGGAGGACCCTGAAACTCCTGCTCAAGATGGTCTTTTCCCTTTTTATTCCACCAGGATCCTATCATTCCTCTGAAACTCTATTTCCTATGAATATTAGGTTGACAGAAAAGCAAATAAAACCACTGGCCAATTTAGGCAGCATTTCGAGCAGCCTGATTTGATGTCCTGCACACAAATTACTCTGGTGATCACTATTACCCAGACTCCAGTAACTTTGGAGAGCTTCGTTTTTAAAGCAGATCTCAGTTCTTTGAAATCTGGCTCATCTTCTGGACACGTCACGTGTCAGATGTCTTGTTCTCTAGAGCTCTCAAATGTGGTCTGAAATGGCAGGATTTGAAGAGGATGCAGATGTGGAGGGGAAAGAGACCAGAAGGGAATTACCTCCTGGTGGAACAGCCACTGCAGATACTTTTGGAGAATCCAGCAAGTGCCTGTGGGCAGAAGCTGAGGTCAAGACACCAGGGGACAGTAAGGAGGGGGCATCCATGGTGCCCCTAGCCCCCTGTACCCACCCCTCTCTCCAGCACTACCCTCGCACTGCCAAATTTCCCTTAACCAGGTGGGCCCCCTGAAGCCACCTCGAGGCCGGAGATCAGCTCACCGCCAACCCTACAATCATTTTGGATTTCAGAAGATCTTCTCAGCCAGCTGCTAGAAAGAAATGTAATTAGATGAGAAAAGTAATTCACATTAAAGCGTGGATGACTAAGTGTCTTGTCACTCCTAATGAACGCTGGCATTTTAAAATAAGTTTGCCTAAAATAAATCTCTCATTTGGGGAGGCGTGGGCCAAATCTTTTTTATATAGGGGAGGCTTTGGAAGTGAAAGTCCTCTGAAGCGCTGATTTCTACTTCAGGAGGCCACTTCCTTCTCTCTACCCCACCCTCGCCCTATTCCCCAGGCGCTGGGCCTGCACGGTGCTAGCTTCTGAAGGGTTGCCGGGCAAGGCTGAGCATTTTCAGAGCAGCCATTAGATGGCACTGGCAGCCAGTGACTGGCCCAGGTGCGCTTCGGCTAAAGGGGCAACTGAACGAGCTTTGGTCAACCTTGGTGTCCTCTCCTGGCTCCAAGGGACAGGCTGTTCCCATTGTACCCTGCCAGTGATCTATTCAAGTACACAGCCAGAACTTGGTGGACCAGGCAATTAGATTAAAGCTCCAAGTTGACCATAGCACATTTAGCTCTGAAAAATGCCCAGATGTTACAGTCACAGAAAAATGGTAGTTACGTATGTCACCAAATGCAAATGTAAAGTAACATATTAGTAAAGGAAAAAACAAAATCTTACAGGTCTGATAGTTCCCTCAATTATATTTCAATTCTTGTCAAAGATAACTACTCTGGAGTGATTTCCATTTGCTAGAAGCAATGACTTCAGGCCTTCCTGGAAAGCCCCAGAGAGCATTTCCCCTCCTTATGCCCTATGTGCTGTGTTGTACAATGTGGTAACATATTCACTCCCACCCTCTCAGAGCTTATATTCTGTTGCTAAACTGGTTAGATGGCTGCTATTGCTAAAACTTCAGATTCTTCCCTGAAAGATGGTCTTGTGTTTGTATTGTATATTTTGCTTATGTGTATGTGTATTTGCTTATGTGTATTTTCAGTTCTCTACAATGAACAAATAGTACCTTTTGTGTCATTTTTAAAGCAACAAATTATTGGGGAAATATCAAATGTTGTGCTTTTTTAAGTAGGGAAAGTATTATAATCCAAAAATGGAAAGCTCTGGAAAAATAGAAACTTGAAATTTGCTCATCCTGAGATTAACTTTATAGTAGAACTACACTTATTAGAACTTCATAGGTGTGAGGGGCTCTCTATGAGCTCAACAAATCATTTTGCTTGTTACTGTAAAACTGCACGCTGGCCATGACCTTTTGTAAAGATTAGAGGAGCACAGGGGCCGAGTTTTGTCCTTACACCATGACATACATGCATCGAGTCCTATAACAAAAGCATCAAAGGAACAGTAAGTCATTAAAGTGGCCATAATCTGTGCAGAGTTTATAAACTGACACACACACAAAAAAAATCCACACACACTTTTATTTTCCTTGGCTCCTTCCAGCCATTCTGTAAGAACCCTCCCTGCCCCATTTAAACATGAAGAATTTGGGGAATCCAAATGCCAAGTGGACTGTCTCTCCTTCGCTGGAAACGCCCCTTACCTGAGCCTTGATCATTCCAAATGGCTGCCCGTGCCCTCAACCCAGGATCTGCGCCATAAACCGTCCACCCCGGTTCTGTTGAGGGCATCCGAAACTAGACAGTGCGTTTCAGGATCTAGGACAGCTCCCGCCCCGGCCACCTGTTTTTAACCCCAGCTAGGTCTTGGAGAGAAGAGACCCAACTATTCTGCATTGTAATTGACCCAGTTATCATGTAATTATCATAGCGCGGCCACCTCGGGTGCGCTAAGGTGGGCAAGGAAACAAGGATTCAGGGGTCTGAATCCGAAAAAATCCGGAAGGCAGGGCGTTCATTATGACTTTTATCCTTTTCTCTGCTGCCCCGTTTCCAACATTAATTTGCGATAGCGTGTATGGAATTTGACTTTCAAGATGTGACACCTATCCTGGAAACTGGGAGCAAGAGATACTAAAAGACCGGGCTGGCCGGGGGCGGTGGCTCGCGCCTGTAATGCCAGAACTTTGGGGGGCCAAGGCGGGCGGATCACCTGTTGTCGGGAGTTTGAGACCAGCCTGACCAACATGGAGAAACTCCGTCTCTACTAAAAATACAAAAATTAGCCGGGCGTGGTGGCGCATGCCTGTAATCCCAGCTACTCGGGAGGCTGAAGCAGGAGAATCGCTTGAACCCGGGAGGCGAAGGTTGCGGTGAGCAGAGATCACCCCTTTGCTCTCCAGCATGGGCAACAAGAGCGAAACTCCGTCTCAAAAAAAAAAAAAAAGACCGGGTTGTCCCAAGACCTCCTAGCAAGCTCTCGGAGCCTCCGGACCGCCGCGAGCCCCTGGGGGAGAGGAGGCCGCCGGCTCCCTGGAGACAGCGCCTGCAGCTTCGCGGCCGTCCGCCCAGGGGCCGGACGTGGGCCCTCCAGCTCAGCTACTGGCGGCTTCTCATGCCGCAGTCGGCGCAGAAAGTTTGTCGAGAACTCGGGACCGCGGAGAGCCAGAGGCGCCCAGGTCCGCCTTCGGAGCCGGAGCCGGCCGACTGCATCGCGAGGACGGGGACAGGGGATCCCGGGGAAAGAGCACGGGTCCCCCACGCTGCGCCCTTACCTGTCTCGGGAGGCTGCTCTCTGAGGGCGGGGACGCTCGGCGGCCTCTCTCGGTCGCGGCTCTTCTTCCCCTCCTTCGCCGCCGCTTGGTCCCGCGCTCCTCTGTCCTTATATACTTGCCGAGCTCTCCTGGTGGGCGCGGGACTTTGACCTTCCCGGCAGCACAAGGAGCAGCTCCCCGGGCCAGGGGAAGGGGGGCCGCGGGGCGTGGGAGGGGGGCTTCCAGACGGGGGACGAGCGCGGGGAGACGCGCTGGAAAGGGGCTGGAATTAGCACTGTCCTGCCGAAGGCGCACCTGGCCGCTCGCCCTCAGGAAGAACTTAATTATGGATGGCGTTGGGTCTCCGCTTAGAACGGGCGGGAGGCTTAGCACCCCCGTGTGGGGCAGGCCGGGCAGCCTCTGAGGTCGTTGAGGCGAGGGTGAAGTTACCTGCGTGCGTGCTGGGGCTGGCATCTGCCTGGTTCGCATTTGGCGGTAAATATCACCGTCTGCACACGGGGAGGCCTCCGATTTCCCCATTGTTTGGAAACTGTGATGTGGAAGTCGTGGGGAATCATATTCTCTCTGTTCCACTTTGGGGAGGGGAGGAGGGAGCAGAAGTCAGGAGCCGTCTTGTGGGTGTGAAGGTGAGTTGCACTGCTCCCCTGGGGCCTGCTCTCCAAGGGCCTGGTTTAGGGGAGGCTCCCTTCCGTGTCCCAAGCCTCAAGGAAAAAGTCCTGTTAACCTAAACCATTAAATGGGGAGAGGGTGATGCTGTGAAGAGCAGCTGAAGTGCTTTCCCTGTGGCCTCTGATCCCTCCCTTTGCCATGAGCTGGCAGGGTGGTCTGGGGACTCAGACAATTTTCAACATCCCCCTTGGCCCTGGAGTTCTGGCTTGGCTTTAGTTCCAAATATCAGACCAGAGAGAAGAGTACAGCACTCAAACCAAGCTAAGAGACTCTACCTTAACCTGGAGTAAATAAACAAAACCAAATTGTGCGATGTGGTGGGTGTGGGAGGGAGTATTGGGACTAAACTGGACTTCAAATCAAGACACTTGCTTAATCTGCCAAATGCCAGAACTTTCCTGATTCCCCATGAGATGCTCTTTTGGACTCCAGGACTCTCTTGTGGATTCAGCTTTTCTGGTGACATTGGCTTTACATTCAGCAATCCTTTCCCTTTGGACCACAAGAGAGATCCAAGCTCCGTCACAGTAGACAAGGTGCTTCATCACCCGGCTTTGGCCCCTTTCCAGGGCCATTTCCCAGTTCTCCACCTTGCATCCTGGCACTTCAGCATCCACAACATTCACACTGCTAGAACATGGCTTTCTTGGGTCTCCATTGTCCAAGCTGTTCCCCCAACTAGAACATCCTTCCTCTCTCCAGCCATCCAGGAGCTTGACTCACATCAAGATGTAGCCCATCCATCAGCCCCTGTTCTCTGAAGCCCTCTTTGGCCACTTTTCCTACCAGGGGCATGAGGCATGACCTCCTCTGCCTTCCACAGAAGTCCATCCCCATCTTGTCAGTGCAAGTGGCTTGCACTAATTCACTTCTGTCCCCATTTTTTTAATCTTCCATCCACCCCACGACCACCATCAGGTTTGTAAACTCTTTCAAGCAGATGGTGGTTTTGCCTTATTTTACTTTGTGTTATTTTTGTAACTTCAGGAGGCTGCTGGTGGCAGCAGATAAAACAAACCAGGAAAAATCCAAATGGACCCAACTTCTTTAACTGGGTTCCTTCTTTCTTTTCTTCTCTCTCTCTCTCATTCTGTTTGTTTGTTTTTGAATTAGGGTCTCACTCTGTTGCCCAGGCTGGAATGCAGCAGTGTGAACACTGCTCACTGCAGCCTCCACCTCCTGGGCTCAAGTGATCCTCATGCTTCAGCCTCCTGAGTACCTGGAACCACAGATGCATGCCACCATGCCCAGCTAATTTTGGGTTTTGGTTTTTTGTTTTGTTTTTGTTTTTGTTTTTGGTAGAGACAGGGTTTCACTATGTTGCCTAGGCTGGTCTCAAGCTCCTGGGCTCAAGTAATCCACATCAGTATCCTGAAGTGCTGGGATTACAGGTGTTAGCCACCACACCCAGCCCAGTTTCTTAATTTAATGCAGCAGAACCTGCTTTGGCCTCCATGAACTGAAAGGCCATTGAACTGCATTTAGAATCACTGGGTAGGCGGGGCACAGTGGCTCACGCCTGTAATCCCAGCACTCTGGGAGGCTGAGTTGGGCAGATCACGAGGTCAAGAGATGGAGACATTCCTGGCCAAGATGGCGAAACCCCGTCTCTACTAAAAATACAAAAATTAGCCGGGCGTGGTGGCGCACACCTGTAGTCCCAGCTACTCGGGTGGCTGAGGCAGGAGAATCGCTTGAACCTGGGAGGCGGAGGTTGCGGTGAGCCGAGATCGCGCCACTGCACTCCAGCCTGGCGACACAGCAAGACTCCATCTAAAAAAAAAAAAAAATCACTGGGCAGGTTGGGGGACCAGGATCTAAAAATGGGCAGGGACACAGTGTGGCTGGAACCATGGCCAAAATCACATCCAGTGGAGAAAAAAAAAACAGACCACAAGGGGCCACAAGGGGCATGTCAAGACCACAGGCGTCTGACATAGACGTCACTTCTGTCCCCAGGATGGGACGCTGCCATTCTCACTTCAGCTAATGCCACTAGAAAGGAGTCACCACTGCCCTTGCATCCTTGTACCACTAGCTCCTCTTTGAAAGCCTAGAACAGGTGCCTTTGATTGTCTGACATGACATAATTTTTCACCTTTATTCTAGTAATGTGGTGAATTATTGCATTGTTGATTTTTTGGTGTTAAACCTACCATGGCTTCTTAGATTAAACCCAATTTGATTATGATGTATTATCCTTATACAGAAAGCACTGGACTCAATTTGCTAATATTTTATTTAAGACATTTGCATTGATGTTCATGAGATGGGCCTGTAATTTTCCTTTCTTGTGGAATTCTTGTCTAATTTGAGTATCAAAAAATTATGCTGTTCTCATAAAACAAGTTGGAAATCCATCTTCCCTCCCCCTTTTTATAATTAAGTAGAATAATTTGCGTATAATGGTGTTATCTCGTCCTTAAATGTTTGGGATGATTCACCAGTGATGCCATCTAAATCTTTAAGATTGTTTGTTCATTGAAGTTTTTAATTACAGAATCAATCCTTTCAGCTGGAGCTGGAAAAAAGAAGGAAAAATGTTTTAAACCATTACAAATTCAATTACTTAAGTGGCACTATTTCAATTGTCTACTTCTTCATGTGTCAGTTTGAGTCAGATATGTATTTCTAGGAATTTGTCTATTTCATCTAAATTCTTTAATTTATTGGCTTAAAATTGTTTATTATATATTTTAAGCATCTGGGATCTGTGGTTTTGGCCCTTTTCATCTCTGATATTGGTTATTTGTGTTCTCTTTTTTCTTGATTCATTTTCTTTTTTCTTTTTGAGACAGACTTTCACTCTTATTGCCCAGGCTGGAGTGCAATGGCATGATCTCGGCTTACTGCAACCTCCGCCTCCCGGGTTCAAGCAATTCTCCTGCCTCAGCCTCCCAAGTAGCTGGGATTACAGGGATGTGCCACCACATCTGGCTTATTTTTTGTATTTTTAGTAGAGATGAGGTTTCTCCATATTGGCCAGGCTGGTCTCAAACTCCTGACCTCAGGTGATCTGCCGGCCTCAGCCTCCCAAAGTGCTGGGATTACAGGCGTGAGCCACTGTGCCTGGCCTCTTGATTAGTTTTCTTAGGGTGTTATCCATTTTATTAGTCTTTTTAATAATCCATTTTGGTTCTGTTAATTTTCTGTACTATATGTATACTTTTTTATATTTCTGAAATTTTTACTCTTATTATATCGTGCCTTCTACATCTTTGGGTTTAATTAGCTATTCTTTTCCTATACTCATGAGTTGGACATTAAATAAATACTTTTACTTAGATAATTGATATTGAACCATTTTTTTCCTTTTTTTTTTTTTTTTTTTTAATATTGCCTTGACTCATCTTCAACTCTTGGGCTCCAGTGATCCTCCCACTTCAGTCTCTCTAGTAGCTGGGACTATAGATGCATGCCACTGTGCCCAGCTCCTTTATTCTTTTTTTACATATGTATTTATGGCTATATTTTCTTTCTAAGTACAGCTTTATATGCATCCCACAACTTTTGATATGTCATATTTCAATTACCATTTGTTCAAAATATCTTTTTATTTTCATTGAGATGTCTTCTTTGACCTATAGGTTATTCAAATATATTCTGCTTAACCTCTAACCCTTCCAATTCATATTACCAACTTAGAAAAAAAAGAAAAACTTCTAAACCTTGGGGATTTTCCAGTCATGTTTTTAAACTAATTTTTTGCTTAATTCCCTTGTAGTCAGAGAATATGCTCTGTTTGATTTCAGACCTTCGAAATTTTTTGAGGCTTGCTTAACAGATAAACATAGGGCTCATTTTGATTAGGGCTTCCTGTGCACTCCAAAAGAAGTGTCTCACTGCACTGTATTCTGTGACTGTATATTCTCAAATATTCTATATCCTTTCTCTACCTATATCCTTGCTATTTGTCGTCTTATTCTATTAGTTACTGAGAAAAGTATGCTTTTTAAATCTCCTCACTATTTTTGTGCATTTCTCCATTTGATCCTGGCATAAAAACAGCACAACTCAGCCGGGCACAGTGGCTCACGCCTGTAATCCCAGCACTTTGGGAGGCCGAGGCAGGCGGATCACCTGAGGTCAGGAGTTCCAGACCACTGTGGCCAACATGGTGAAATCCCGTCTCTACTAAAAGTACAAAGATTAGCCAGGCATGGTGGCGCATGTCTGTAGTCCTAGCTACTCAGGAAGCTGAGGCAGGAGAATTGCTTGAATCCGGAAGTCAGAGGTTACAGTGAGCCAAGATCATGCCACTGCACTCCAGCCTGGGCAACAAGAGCGAGACTCTGTTTCAAAACAAAACAAAACAAAACAAAACTCTATGAACTGAATGGTGATTGTGGGTGGAGGGTAATGTTGGATCAAGGATAAAGATGGCAGAAAGGGCCAGGCGTGGTGGCTCATGCCTGTAATCCCAGCACTTTGGGAGGCCAAGGCGGGCAGATCGCAAGGTCAGGAGTTCGAGACCAGCCTGATCAACATGGTGAAACCCCATCTCTACTAAAAATACAAAAATTAGCCAGACATGGTGGCTTGCACCTGTAATCCCAGCAATTTGGGAGGCTGAGGCAGGAGAATCGCTTAAGCCTGGGAGGCGGAGGTTGCAGTGAGGCCATTGCACTCCAGCTTGGGCAACAGAGCAAGCCTCTGTCAAAAAAAAAAAAAAAAGGAAAGAAAGAAAGAAATAGAGAAAAGAGAAAAAAGGAAATTCTGAAATCTGGCCTGGCACGTGTGACCACGTGACCAGTTCCTTCAGAAGGCAGTTCCACTGCCCGGAATGAATCTCCTTAGCTCTTGGTTCCATCCTCTGGGCTCTTGGTTCCATCCTCTGGGCTCTTGGTCTATTCTCTGTGTTAGCTTTCCTTTTCCATAATAGCCAAGATTTGCACCTGAATAATTTTCTTGCTTGCTTCCTGCCTATGGTATTTCAGGGGCTCAAAAGCTTCTTTTTGTTTGTATACTCCAGCTCGACCACTATCTGTCATATGGATTAAAGGAGGCAATTCATGTAAAGATCTTAGAGCAGGGCCTGGTCCCTAGTTAGTCCTGTACAACTGCTAGCCCTTAACTTTAATATTATGGGAGTGTTGGTGAGAAGGGAGGAGGGAAGAGGAAGGAAGGAAGGAAGGAAGGAAGGAAGGAAGGAAGGAAGGAAGGGAGAGAGGGAGAGAGGGATAGAGGGAGGAAGGAAGTAGAAGGAGGGAGGGAAGGAAAGAAGGCAAGGTTGGAAGGAGGGAGAAAGAGAGGGAGGAAGAAGCAAGGAAGGGAGGGAAGGAAGACATAAAAGAAGGGAGGAGGGAAGGAAAGAAGGAAGGAAGACAAGAAGGAAGGAGGGAGGGAAGGAAGAAAGGAGGGAAGGAATAAATGAAAGAAGGAAGGAGGGAAGAAAGGAGGGAAGGAGGTAAGACAGGAGCAGACACAGGGTCTTTTGGACAGGGTAGCTGATGGGTTTGTTGGGAGACCCTGCTTGTGAGGACTCCTGGGGCCGGGGCGATGCACCTGCACCTGGCTGCGGGCGTGCCAGGTGGCTGTAGACGTAGGGCTGGGGCTGCTCTCATCATCTCAGCTTTTCACCTTTGAGGTTTTAATTGGAAAAGAGATGTCACCAGGGTGTGAGTGCGTTACAAGGGCAGGTGCAGGGGAGGCTGATGACTGAGAGGACAGAAACAAGGACAGGGTGGCAGAGCCCAACATGGGGCAGGGGATAAGGAGGTACAAGGAGGGTGGCCTCGTTGTCAGCCTCCAGGCATTGGGACTGGCAATGGGGGACATTACCCTGGGAGAAGAGAAGACTTAGGGATGAAGCTGCCTCATGTCTGTGGGGGACTTTGCTGGAATAAGCACCAATTCATGCCTTAAGGGTCTGAACGAGGAGCCCCAGCTCCACCTTGGCACGCCCTTCTTCATTCTCTCTCCATAGTCTCCATGGACAAGCTGGGGGCAGCTGCCATCCCTGTCTCATGGAATAACAATTGTCCCTTCTCGGAACTCCTTAGGCTCAGCCAGGGCCTCTTCATTCCTGCTGTTGTTTGGTCTAGAGGGGCCCTTGGGCTGCTCAGCTGGTGCCGGTTGCCTCTAAGGGCACAGCTCCCATAATCAGTGCCTGGTAGAGAGTTGGTGCTTGAAAAATATTTGTACAGCAAGGGTAGGAGGGGATGAATGAGGAAGGGAGACCCTCTCCCTCTTAACCCTCAGTTTGCAGAAACTCATGATTCTCCAAAACCCTCTTTGTCAGAGGCGTTTGAACCAGAGCAACTCCATCTTGAATAGGGACTGGGTAAAATGAGGCTGAGACCTACTGGGCTGCATTCCCAGATGGTTAGGCATTCTAAGTCATTGGATGAGATAGGAGGTCGGCACAAGATACAGGTTATAAAGACCTTGCTGATAAAACAGTTTGCAGTAAAGAAGCCGGCCAAAACCCACCAAAACAAAGATGGCCACTGAGAGAGTGACCTCTGGTCCTCACTGCTACACTCCCACCAGCGCCATGACAGTTTACAGATGCCATGGCAATGTCAGGAAGTCACCCTATATGGTCTAAAAGGGGAAACATAAATAATCCACCCCTTGTTTAGCATACCATCAAGAAATAACCATAAAAATAGTTAACCAGGCCAGGCGTGGTGGCTCAAGCCTGTAATCCCAGCACTTTGGGAGGTCGTGGCAGGTGGATCACGAGGTCAGGAGTTCAAGACCAGCCTGTCCAAGATGGTGAAACTCTGTCTCTACTAAAAATACAAAAATTAGCCGGGCGTGGTGGCAGACGCCTGTAATCCCAGCTACTTGGGAGGCTGAGGTAGAGAATTGCTTGAGCCTGGGAGACGGAGGTTGCAGTGAGCTGAGATCACGCCACTGCACTCCAGCCTGGGCAACAGAGTAAGACTCTGTCTCAGAAAAAAAAAAAAAAAGTTAACCAGCAGCCCTCCAGGTCGCTCTGCCTATGGAGTAGCCATTCTTTCATTCCTTTACTTTCCTAATAAATAAACTTGCTTTCACTTTAATCTATGGACTTGCCCAGAATTCTTTTTTGCGTGAAATCCAAGGACCCTCTTTTGGGGTCCGGATTGGGATTCCTTTCCAGTAACATCTCCGTACTCCCTCTGTAGGACACATGAACCTGAAACAGGGAAGTGCCTCCTCTTCATTGTGTCTGAATGAGAAATAGCCCAGTATCTTCCCCTTTATGTGGGCATTCAAGAATCGTGAGCACTTTCAAGAAATCCTAACTACCGCTAAAATTGCACTGGGGCTCAGAAAATTATACCCCAAAATATGGAACTAAAGAAGCAGCTTCAGTTCCTTTGAAGAACCTTCAAAATCTCGCCCTGACCTTCCCCTCACTCCCTGTCTCTCTGATTTTTTCCAAAACACCAGAAGGTACTGTCTTTGGCATTTCCATATCTGACTAAGGAAACTTCTTTCTAAAAGAAATACAATTGCCTGAAGCCTCCCTTCATAGGAATCTCATCAAATAACCAGGAAAGAAAGATTAACCACCTGAGAAGAGACGGATCATCACCGCCTCCAGACAGACTTTTCTTGCATTTTTCTGAGGGCAACTCCAAGAGATAGCCTAGGGGGGTTACCTGCATAATAAGACAGGCTGCGTTCACAATGACTTTCTGCTTCTCACCTTCACACCACCTACCCAAAGAACAGAGAAGAACTTTGTCCCAGGCCATTGTTCCTCGGGCGCATTCACTTTCCCAGAAAATCATTTACTCCTATGCCCCTCATTTTCCCTTCCCCTATCAAGAAATATCTGCAGGCATCTGGACCTCATTGAGTTACTGGGTAATCATTCTCCCACCATTCTGCTATGCTATACACATGAAATTAATTTGTATGTCTTGTTCCCCTATTAATCTGTCTATTAGCAGTTCATTTTCAACAAAACTTCAGAGGGCAGAGTGAAGGAAGGAAATTTTCTCTTGGCACCCACAATTGTCAATAGAAACCCTAATTAAGCATCCCTCTGAGGGGAGCCTGATGTGGTTTGCAGGGCAGACAGGGAGCTGCCTCCAGAAAAGGGCCTGAAGCCTGAAGCACTGCAGAGGAGAGGGTTACTGGTGCCCCAGATGGCCCTACAATTCAGGCGGATCCCACTGCCCCGCTTCACCCCTGCAACACGCCCTCCCCAGTCTCAGCCTTTTCATTGAGCTTCTCTCATGCAGCACTGCAGCTGGGCTACTTCACCAGCCTTCGGTTTGACCTCAAGGGCAAAGAGGAATCAATTTGTGCAGAGAACTGGAATGAAAGAGATTTCAATTGACCTTTGAATGGGGTTTTAATTTGCTTTATTCCAGCCAAAGGGACCTCGTGAAGAGACCCTTGAGACTGCTTTTATCCACTAATGCGCGCATTAGTGCAGCAGCCTGGGCCAAGGTCTGCATGGTCTGGGTGCCGCAGAGCACAGTGGGGAGGGCCAGAGTCCATGCCCCTCCCTAGAGCAGGTTGTCAGCACCCTCAGGGTCCAAAGCAGAGTCAAGAGTGGAGGAAGGGCCTAGGTAATATGGTGGAACCCCATTTCTACAAATATATATATATATATACACGTATATACACACACATACAAAAATTAGCCGGGCATGGTGGCACACGCCTGTAGTCCCAGCTCCTTAGGAGGCTGAGGTGGGAGGATCACTTGAACCTGGGAGGTGGAGGCTGCAGTGAGCCATGATCATGCCACTGCACTTCAGCCTGGGCAACAGAGCCAAACCCTGCCTCAGAAAAAAAAAAAAATAGAGTGGAGGAAGAAGCAGTGGGAGGGGGTGAGGTGACCTGGGTTCTAGCCCCAGCTCTGTGGCCAGCAGACACAGGGACCTGGGTCAGTCACTCCCCCCACCCCCACCCCACCTCCAGGCCTCAGCCCCCTCATTTGAACAATGGGGGCGGGGAGGATGTGGTCCGTTTCAGGCCTGTCATTCTATGATTCTAGGCTCAGATCTAGAGTCAAGCTCTGTGATTAAAAAACAAACAAACAATAGTCTTACAGAACGTGGCCCCTAATGGGCACAGCTGAGTCCTCTGGGCTGAGGAGGTAAGCTCTGTCCTTCTGTCTCTTGGGCCTTTCTCGTGTCCTGTTTCTCTCTGAGAATCTGCTCCAGTCTGCACACATGGGCAGGCCAGTTCTCTGCTCTGTTCACTCTGAATCCCAGAGGAAACTAATGGGGCCACTAATTACCAGCACTCCTGCTGCAGGCAGCCACCCATGGGGTCCAAGTGGCCTGTGGAAAGCCAGCCCTGATCAAAGAGCCCTCTGCAGCCGCTCCTCACACAGAGCCAGTTCCATGGGACACCCCAGTAGAGAGCCTGTAAGTTTGTGTGCACAGTCCTGCATCAGCAATGGCAGGTTCTCTCTTACCCTGAGCTTATTACACCTGGGTATATTGCCATGTGGAGCCACATGTATTCTTTTAGAACCACTCCCTTATCCCAAGCCCTTTTTTCACAATGAAGGCTTGCGCCTCTGCAATCCAAGTAGACTTCCTGGAAGTAGTGTCTTTGCTGAAGATGTTGTGGACATAACAGACACACCAGGCTCTGCTAGATGACGTCCCTGCTGCCGCTCTTTCCAGACAGAGCTCAGGTGCCAGCGGCCACCATTCTGACTCAGCGGTGGTCATAATGGTCCTTTTGTGGGGGACAGGCCTTTGTTAGGGGCTCGAGCATGACTGCTACTTTTCCAGAAGAATGCGGAGTTCTCCAGCCAGCAGTTGAGGTAGGGAGAGTGACGTGGTGGCCAGGAAGGACGCCACTAATGCACATCCATTAGTGAGTGCATCACAGGGCGGCATTCAGAAGCTTCCGAGCGGTCCTCCTTCCTCCAGACCCAACAATGGCTGCGTGGAGGGGGCTTGAAGTGGCCTTTTTACAGGCACTCAGCTCAGTCTCCCTCTCCAGCCCCCGCCCCCGTTAGGTACCCATCTTCCATTTCCATGCCTGCTGCTCAAAGGAATGGAGCAGCCAGGACAGCGAATCCAGGCAGCCCACCTGCGGCCCGGAGAGCCCCCACTGTGCCCTCAGTCCCATTGCCCCAGGAGAGGGACACCAGGCTGGGCAGAGCTGGTGCACAGTGACCTGCTATGCAGCAGCTCAAAGAGCCCATGACTCTGTGTGTGTCTGTGCATGTGCATGCACGTGTATGTGTGTGTGCATGTGTGTGTGTGTGTGATGGGAAGGGTGCAACGACTCCTGAAATGGGTTTGAAAGGTAGTTTGGTTTGTTTTTAACACGCTGTCCAAAGCCTTTATGTCCAGTTGAAAGTGATTCCTTTCCCAGCATCCCCCTAGGCAGCTGTTCTTGGTGCCATTGAGGGGCTGGGGCTGGAGCCTTTGGCAGACCCCTTAGGGGAAATGCTTCCAGACCAGGTCTAATCCGCCTGAGAAGGCCAGTCTCTGACTTCAACATCTCATTTCAAAAAACATGTATTCGCTGGGCATGGTGGCTCACACCTATAATCCCAAAACTTTGGGATGCCAAGGTGGGTGGATCGCTTGAGGTCAGGAGTTTGAGACCAGCCTGTCCAACATGGCAAAACCTCATCTCTACTAAAAATACAAAAAATTAGCAGAGTGTGGTGGTGTGTGCCTGTAGTCCCAGCTGCTCAGGAGGCTGAGGCAGGAGAATCTCTTGAACCCGGGAGGCGGAAGTTGCAGTGAGCCAAGATTGTGCCTCTGCACTCCAGCCTGGGTGACACAGTGAGTGAGACTCTGTCTCAAAAAACAAAAACATGTATAAATTATGTTCTTTTAATTTATCCTTTATATTATCGTTCAACCTTTAGGTTGAAGTTATTTTTCTATGTATTATGAACATGAGAAGGTTATATTATCAATGAATTTCATTTCAAGATAATAAATAAGGTCTCACTACTTATTTATTTACTCTTGAAAGGGTATTTTGCTGCTGATGGGAATGTAAAATAATGCCACTTTGTCAAAGAGTTTGGCAGTTCCTCAAAATGTTAAACATAGAGTTACCATATGACCCAGGAATTCCCTTCCTAGGTATATACTCAAACATTTTTCCACACATTTTGATAAAATTTGTATGCTCACAGATGCATTATTCATAAGAGCCAAAAAGTGGTAGCAACCCAAATGTCTACCTACTGATGAATGGATAAATAAAAAGTGATATATCCATAAAATGGAATATTATTTGAGAACAACAAAAAAAAAAATGAAATACTGGCGGGGTGTGGTGGCTCACATCTGTAATCCCAGCACCTTGGGAGGCTGAGGTGGGTGGATCACCTGAGGTCGGGAGTTTGAGACCAGCCGGACCAACATGGAGAAACCCCATCTCTACTAAAAATACAAAATTAGCCGGGCGTGTTGGTGCATGCCTGTAATCCCAGCTACTTGGGAGGCTGAGGCAGGAGACTCGCTTGAACCCAGGAGGCAGAGGTTGCAGTGAGCCAAGATCATGCCATCGCACTCCAGCCTGGGCAACAAGAATAAAACTCCGTCTCAAAAAAAAAAACAAAAAAACAAACAAACAAAAAAAAAGAAAAAGAAATGAAATACTGATATATACTACAACATGGATGCATATTTAAAACATGATGCTAATTGGAAAAAGTCAGACACTAAAGTTCACATATTGTATGATTCCACTTATATGAAATACCCAGAATAGGCAAATCCATAGAGCCAGGAAGTAGATTAGTGGTTGCTAGGGGTTGGGAGTGTCAATGGGAAATGAAGAGTGGCTGCAAATGGATACAGGTTTCCTTTTTGTTTGTTTCAATAGTTTTTGCTTTGTTTGTTTGTTTGTTTGTTGAGATGGAGTCTCACTCTGTCGCCCAGGTTGGAGTGCAGTGGCATGATCTCGGCTCACTGTAACCTACACCTCCCAGGTTCAAGCAATTATCCAGCCTCAGCCTCCCAAGCAGCTGTGATTACAGGCATGTGCCACCAAACCGGCAATATTTTGTATTTTTAGTAGAGACGGGGTTTCACCACGTTGCCAGGCTGGTCTCGAACTCCTGACCGCAAGTGATCCTCCCGCCTAAGCCTCCCAAAATGCTGGGATTATAGTCGTGAGCCACTGCCCCCAACCTATTTTAATAGTTTTTGAAGTACATATGGTTTTTGGTTACATGGATGAGTTCTTTAGTGGTGAAATCTGAGTTTTTAGTGTACCCGTCACTTAAGCAGTGCACACGGGTACAGGGTTTCTTTCTTGCAGTGATGACAATGTTTTAAAATTGATGATAGTTACACAGTTTGGTAAATATACTAAAAGCCATTTTATCGTATACTTTAAATAGGTCAATTGTATGGGTATGAATTAAATCTCAAAACTGTTATTATTATTATTATTATTTTTGAGACGAAGTTTTGCTCTTGTCATTCCAGGCTGAAGTGCAATGGCGCGATCTCGGCTCACTGCAACCTCCACCTCCCAGGATTCAAGCAATTCTCCTACCTCAGCCTCCTGAGTAGCTGGGATTACAGGCAAGTGCCACCACGCTTGGCTGATTTTTGTATTATTAGTAGAGACGGGGGTTTCACCATGTTGCCCAGGCTGGTTTCGAACTCCTGACCTCAGGTGATCTGCCCGCCTCAGCCTCCCAAAGTGCTGGGATTACAGGCGTGAGCCACTGCGCCTGGCCTCAAAACTGTTATTTTAAAAAGGATGATTTTGGAGGAAAATGGATAAACAAATTGTGGTATATTCATAGGCTGGAATACTACTCAGCAATAGAAAGGAGCTACTGATATGTGCGACACCATGAATGAATCTCAAACCATTATGTTGCATAAAAGAATCCAGACACAAAAGACAACATATCTTGTGATTCCATTTTCATGAAGTGTGAGAACAGGCAAAAGGAAGCTATTCAAATGGGAAGTGACTAGAAAAGGTCCCAGGAACTTTCTGGGGTGATGGAAATGTTCTGTATCTTGCTTGGTGGATCGACTCTTGCTGAACTGTGAACTTAGTTCACACAATGCACATTGTGCATTATGATGTGTGTTATTACACACTGATTACCAAGCAAGATACTATAATTGCCAAATGGGTTCATCTTGCCTGTTGCCTAGAAAAGCCAATGCACGGAGAATAGCAGGTTTTTGCAACAGAGAAATAGTTTAATAATCACAGGAAGGAAGCAGAAGGAAAATAGTGTGTTATTACTCAAACCAGCCTCCCCCAAAATTTGGAGACTAGGGTTTTTTTGTTTTTGTTTTGAGACAGAGTTCTGCTCTTGTTGCCCAGGCTGGAGTGCAATGGTGCAATCTCGGCTGATTGCAACCTTCGCCTCCTGGGTTCAAGCGATTCTCCTGCCTCAGCCTCCCAAGTAGCTGGGATTACAGGCGCCTGCCACCACGCCCGGTAAATTTTTTGTATTTAGTAGAGATGGGTTTCACCATGTTGGTCAGGCTGGTCTCGAACTCATGACCTCAGGTGATCCGCCCGCCTCGTCCTCCCAAAGTGCTGGGATTACAGGTGTGAGCCACCACACCCAGCTGTGGAGACTAGGGTTTTTAAGGATAATTTGGTGGGCAAGCTGCTAGGGAATGAGGAATGCAGATTGGTTGGGTCTGCATTCCCAGACCCAACCAATAAACTCATAAGGGATTGAAATTGTGGGCGGGATCACAAAAGTAGTTGAGCCAGTTTACCAGTCTGCGTGGTATCAACTGTTTCATCAGAACGCAGGATCTGAAAATACCTTGAACACCAATCTTAGGTTTTACAATAGTGGTGTTATCTACAGGAGCATTTGGGGAGGTTAGGAATCTTGTGGCCTCTGGCTGCATGACCCCTGAGCCATCATTTTTAATCTTGTGACTAATTTGTTAGTTTTCCAAAGGCAGTTTCAGTCCCCAAGCAATGAGGGGGTACTTTTGGGAAGGGCTATTATTATCCTTGCTTTAAGGTTAAAATACAAATTAAATTCCTCCCAGAGTTAGCTTGGCTTATGAACAAGGACAGCTTGGAGGTTAGACGCAAGATGGAGTCAGTTAGGTCAGATTTCTTTTACTGTCATAATTTCCCTATGTCAGATTTTTCTCACTGTCATAATTTTAGCCCTAAGGGGCCAACAATCTGTGGGCCAGTAGCTCTGTATCCAAACATAAATGCACCATTTTGGGGACTTTCAGTGTGGGCTACGCACATCTGAGGGGATTGGCCTGGGTGAGACTGGGGAGACCTCTGACCTGAGAATGAAACTGGTCTCAGTAAGTGGAAGATGCATTATGTTAAGATTCTCTCCCAATCATTCAAGTATCCATTCAACAAATATTTACAGGACAGGTGCGATGGCTCACACCTGTAATTCCAGCACTTTGGAAGGCCAAGGCGGGCGGATCACCTGAGGTCAGGAGTTCGAGACCAGCCCGGCCAACATGGTGAAACTTTGTCTCTACTAAAAATACAAAACATTAGCCAGGTGTGGTTGTATGCACCTATAATCCCAGATGCTTGGGAGGCTGAGCCACGAGAATCACTTGAACCTAGAAGGTGGAGGTTGCAGTGAGCCGAGATTGTGCCAGTGCACTCCAGCCTGGGCAACAGAGTGATACTCTGTCTCCAAAAAAAAAAAAAAACAACTTACAAATCTCTGACTATGTGCCAGGCACAGACTAGGAGGCAGCATTCAGCAGAGAACAAGACACAGGCCCTGTCCTCCTGGGGCTTCCATTCTGGCAAGGGGAGAGAGAGAATAAGCACAGGTGAACATCTGCTAAGTCTGATGGTGATCCACACTTTGGAGAACCATAAAGCATTGGTAGGGATGAGTGGAGCGTGGGGTGGTTAGGAAAGGCCTCTGTGATAAGATGACACCAGAACAGAGGCCTGGAGGAAGTGAGGAAGAAAATCATTCCGATTCTGGAGCAAAGGCATTCCAGGCAGGGGAGACATTAAGCACAAAGCTCGGAGATGGTTGCAACTTTTGCATATTTGGGCAACATCAAGAGTGTGGCTGCTGGACCCGAGGGTGCCAGAGATGGAGCAGCAGGGGTGCAGAGCTCCATGGTGCCTCTGAAGGGCCTGGGCTTTTACTCTGAGCAAGATAAGAACAGGCCCTGTCCTCCTGGGGCTTCCATTCTGGCAAAGGGAGACAGGAAACAAGCGCAATGCTTGTGCTGTGCTGGACAGAAGAGTGGCCCCATCTGATCACCTTCTCAGGGTCATGTGGCTGTGGGGTTGAGGACAGACTGAGGGAGGGAACACAGCTGGGAGACTACTGCAGACACCCAGGGAGCAGGTGATGGTGACGCAGACCAGGGTGGATGCAGAGGAGGAAGGAGTGGCTAGAGTCAGACACACTGTGAAGGTACAGCCAGCAGAATTTGTTAAGAGATTGGATGACAAGTGTGAAAGAAAGAGTCTAGAATGAATCCACGTTTTGGACCTGAGTAACTGGAAAGACAAGTTTCCATTTACTGCTGTGAGAAAGACTGAGAGAAGAGCACGTGTGGGAGCAAGATTAGCTCTGTTTTGGACGTGTTGATTTAAGTTAGACAACCAGTGAAGCTCAAGTAGGTGGTGAGATTTCTAAGTCCGGAGTGCAGGAAAGAAAGAGTCTCAAACTGGAGATGTGAGTGTGGAAGTCATCAGTGTATAGATAATATCGGAAGCCAAAAGATGAGAATTCAATGAGGTCTTAAGAAAAATTCCCAAAGGATAGGATTTTTTTTCTTTTTTTTCTTTTTCTTTCTGTTTTGTTTTTTTGTTTGTTTTGTTTTTGGGTTTGTTTTTTTTTTGACAGAGTTTCGCTCTTGTTCGCCCAGGCTGGAGTGCAATGGTGCAATCTTGGCTCACTGCAACCTCCGCCTCCCAGATTCAAGCTATTCTCCTGCCTCAGCCTCCCAAGTAGCTGGGATTACAGACATGTGCATCACACCCAGCTAATTTTTGTATTTTTAGTAGAGACGGGGTTTCACCATGTTGGCCAGACTGGTCTCGAATTCCTTGCCTCAGGTGATCTACCTGCCTTGGCCTCCCAGAGTGCTGGGATTATAGGCATGAGCCACCGCGCCTGGCCTCAAAGGATTTTTTTTATTGACAAGTTGATTCTAAGATTCATCCAGAATAATACATTTTTTTAAGCCAAAAAAACTCTGAAAAAGTGACATCTGACCTCGCACTAGATGCCTTGCCTTGAGGGGCTGGGCTTGATGTTCTGTCTCTGGCTCTGCAGCAATGGTCAAAAGAGAAGCCTGGAGTTTCCAGGATCCAGCCGACACCCTCCCACTGGGGCAAGCTGGTTCAGGGCTCACACACCTATTAAAACATAGATTCCTGCTCTCACTTGCATCTTGTTCTTCTCAGATTCCTTATTTTCTTGCCAATTTGACAATGCATTTTTTTTTTTTTTTTTTTTTGAGATGGAGTCTTGCTCTGTCCCCAGGCTGGAGTGCAGTGGTGTGATCTCGGCTCACTGCAACCTCTGCCTCCTGGGTTCAAGCGATTCTCCTGCCTCAGCCTCCCAAGCAGCTGGGACTACAGGCGTGCACCACCATACCCAGCTCATTTTTGTAATTTTAGTAGAGACTGGGTTTCACCATGTTGGCGAGGATGGTCTCGATCTCATGACCTCGTGATCCGCGTGCCTCGGCCTCCCAAAGTGCTGGGATTACAGGCGTGAGGCACTGCAACTGGCCGCAATGCATTTTTTTTAAATGGTTTAAATATATTGTTTTAGACTGGGCGCAGAGGCTCACGCCTGTAATCCCAACACTTTGGGAGGCCAAGGCGGGTGGACCACCTGAGGTCAGGAGTTTGAGAACAGCCTGATCAACATGGAGAAACCCCGTCTCTACTAAAAATACAAAAAATTACCCGGGTGTGGTGGCACACACCGGTAGTCCCAGCTACTCGGGAGGCTGAGGCAGGAGAATTGCTTGAATCTGGGAGGCAGAGGTTGCAGTGAGCCAAGATCAAACCACTACACTCCAGCCTGGGTGAGAGCGCGAGATTCTGTCTGAAAATTAGGAAAAAAACAAAAAACAAAACCTACTGATTTACAGTATATTTTGGAGACATCACTGATTCCAACAGCACAGGTCTTTTTCAGCCAGGGCAGATCCTTGTCTATACAAGCAAAACAATCTGGTCACATGTGTTATTCTGGAATAATCTTTTTTATTTTTCTTCCCATCAAAGCACACTGTGGATCCTCTACATTCTTCCTTCAGTGCCATGTCAATTGGGTGCTTACGTCTGAGGGGGATCCTGTGTGCAGGAAAGAATCTCATTTTGGTTTTGATCAATATTCAGTAAATTACAATCTAAGTTTCTTCAAGCCTTTATAGACATAAGTTCAAAATCTTCAATTTGCCTGTAACTCAAATTATCATTCATTTTTACTTAATCTTGAATAAAGGCTCAACTAGCATATAAATATAGTAAATGAAGTCTCTCAGACATGAACTCAATTTATGCTTGATTCCGTTTTCTTAGACACTTTAAGCTACATTTACAAATGTAGCATATCTGATTCTCTTAAACACTCCACACATGAAGCCTCAGCTAGCAAGCAAAATCCTTCTAAACCCTTAAGCAACGCTGAAAAACTAATAAGTCAATCATATTAAATTCAACTTCCTTAAGGGTTAGAAACATCTTTTAAAAACAAAAACATAGTATACATGAAGAAACACACTTGTATAAATAGAACTTTTAAAGAGTATCAATATCATATATTCTAGTTATCTGGAATTCCTGGCCTCCAGAGATCCTCCCTTCTCAGTCTCCCAAAGCACTGGGATTCAAGCCATGTTCCAACTATCTACAGCTGCTTAACAAACCATCCCAAACTTTTTTTTTTTTTTTGAGATGAGTCTTGCTCTGTCGCCCAGGCTGGAGTGCAGTGGCACAATCTCAGCTCACTGCAACCTCCACCTCCTGGGTTCAAGTGATTCTCCTGTCTCAGCCTCCTGAGCAGCAGGGATTACAGGCACATGCCACCATGCCTAGCTAATTTTTATATTTTTAGTAGAGACGGGGTTTCACCATGTTGGTCAGGCTGGCTCATCCCAAACTTAATGGCATCAAACAATAACCAAGGTATGCTGCTCGTGAATTTTCTGGAGATCAGGAATTTAGACAGAACACAGCAGGGATGGTGTGTATTTGCTCCACAACATCTTGGGCCTTGGCTGAGAGTTCCTGAATGACTAGAAATAATTCAAATATCTGAGAATTGGGGCTGGGCACAGTGGCTCATACCTATAATCCCAGCACTTTGGGAGTCTGAGGCGAGAGGATCACTTGAAGCCCGGAGTTTGAGACCAGCCTGGGCAACGTGGTGAAACCTCATCTCTACTGAAAATACAAAAATTAGCCGGGTATGGTGGTGTGTGCCTATAATCCCAGCTACTTGGGAGGCTGAGGCAGGAGAATCACTTGAACCAGGGAGACAGAAGTTGCAGTGAACCGAGACCGTGCCACTGCCCTCCAGCCTGGGCAACAGAGAGAGACTCAGCTTCAAAAAAGAAAAGAAAAACACTTTAAATGAATAATAAATAAACAAAAAGCTCCCTCCCTTCCATTCTGCCATGGTGTCTGAAACTCCCATATCCCAATACAACCCTTTAGGTTAAGGCCTTGTCCTAAAGAGCACAGGAGCAGGCTTTGAGGGGAACCTGCACATGCAGCCGAATGTCCTATCTGTTCATGCTTCTGACTTTGCCATGAAGGCCATTCTCCACCAAAGGTACCTCTGTGAACATGTGCCACCACATGAGAAGCATGTGCGGTCATTTACAGGCAACAGGCATGACAGAAAGATCAAAGGTCTCTGTGGAGAAGGGCGTGTCTCCTTAAGAATCCTGAACAGTGGGGCCTGTGCAATTACTGGTCCTTGAAACGCTTTTATCTGTGACCTTGAAGAGGGGCTGCCAAGTGATGTTAGCTTTCAAGGTTGCAGGTGACACTAAGCCCTGCAGGAGAGCGAGATACCACGTTGCCACGGACAGATGGCCAAGTGAGGAGGCTGGTGAGGCAGAGGGAAAGTCTGAAAGGAACACCGAGGCAAAGCACAAGACCACGTGTTTCCCACAGACCAGGTTCTCTGCTAAGCCCCAGCTAGAAAGGGTCAGAAAGACAATCTGTTCCCTAACGGGTCAGGTGGTTAATCTGCCCAGGGAGACCAGAGCACAATAAGGGTATCAGAACAAAGAGCAGAGCCAGGCGCACCCAGCCTCAGGAGCCCTGGCCATCACATCCCACGCAAGACACAATGGGAAAACAAGCCCACCACTAGATAATCATTTCCCACAGCTCAGATCCACACAGGTCGTTAACTGTGCTCATATCCAGGGTTCGGCAAGATGCAAAGAAACTGACGCTCCCGTTCATGGCTCAGGGAATGCAAATTGAAACAATTTTACTGGAGAGAAATCTGGATTTATGTATCCATATTTTCTTTCTTTTCTTTCTTTCTTTCTCCTTCCTTCTTTCCTTCCTTCCTTCCTTCCTTCCTTTCTTTTCTTTCTTTCTTCTTTCTTTCTTTCTTTCTTTCTTCTTTCTTTCTTTATTTCTATCTTTCCCTCCCTCCCTCTCTTCCTTCCTTTTCTTTTTTTTTTTTTCAGATGGAGTCTTGCTCTGTTGCCCAGGATGGAGTGCAGTGACATGATATTGGCTCACTGCAGCCTCTGCCTCCTGGGTTCAAGCGATTTTCCTGCCTGAGCCTCCCGAGTAGCTGGGACTACAGGTATCCACCACCAAGCCTGGCTAGTTTTTGTATTTTTAGCAGAGGCAGGGTTTTGTCATGTTGACCAGGCTGTTCTCAAACTCCTGACCTCAAGTGATCTGCCTGCCTCAACATCCCAAAGTGCTGGGATTACAGGCGTGAGCCATGTATCCATATTTTCAATGAGCCATATTTTCATATTTTCCATATTTTCATATTTCCATATTTTCAATGGATACATGAGCCATGTACCCATATTTTCAATGGCCCATTACCACAGGTATCCCAGTTTTAGAACCTGATCTTAAGAAAATAAAGATATATGTATAAGGGTTTTTGTATTTATAAAAGAAAAATTGGGCTAGGTGCAATGGCTTATGCCTATAACCGCAACACTTTGGGAGGCTAAGGTGAGAGGATCACTTGAGGCCAGGTGTTTGAGACCAGCCTGGGCAGCACAGGGAGACCCCATCTCTACAAAAAATAAAAATAAAAAAATTAGGTGGGCGTTGTAGTACACACCTGTGGTCCCAGGTACTTGGGAGGCTGAGGTGGGAGGATCGCTTGAGCCCCAGATTCAAGGCCACAGTGCACCATGATCATTCCACTGCACTCCAGCCTGGGTGACAGAGCAAGACCTCGTCTCTAAAAACAATAATAATAACAATAATAATAGTAATAATAATAATTAACTAATTAAAAAGAAAAAATGGAAACAAAATATCCACCACCTGGGGATTGGTTTAATAAATCATGATGCTTACACTTGCCTGCCTATAAGCCCTAGGAAAGCAGGCAGCGAGTCTGTTTCACCGCTATACACCTAACACATAAGACGGTGTCCAGCACACAGTGGGCATTTCTTCAAAGAAAGAAGGCAGGACCAAGTGAACACAGAGGAAAGCAATGTTCCGTAACATTTTAAAGGAACGACACTGAGCTCCAGTACTAATGTGCAGAGTTACCTACAGTATGTTGTTGAATAGAAAATACAGGTCACAACAGAGCATGATGGGTTTATACATGCATTTGTTTAAGCCTGGAAGAATGTACATGAAAATCAAACTCAAAGGGTTTGGAAAGGATACTTTGGAGGTATTAACAGTGTTTATTGACAGGTGAGTTAGATTGTGGGGTCTTTTCTGTTTATTCTTTTTGTCTACGTTTTCTGACTATTCTGTGATAAGCACATTTTGATCTTACAAGAAAAACAAGGCTGGGCACGGTGGCTCACACCTGTAATCCCAGCACTTTGGGAGGCCGAGGCGGGCAGATCACTTGAGCCCAGGAGTTCAAGACAAGCCTGGGCAATATGGCGAAACCCTGTCTCTACTAAAAATACAAAAATTAGCTGGGCGTGGTGGCGTGTGCCTGTAGTCCCAGCTACTTGGGAGGTTGAGGTGGGAAGATCTCCTGAGCCCTGGGAGGTCGAGGCTGCAGTGAGTTGTGATCACACCACTGCACTCCAGCCTGGGTGACTAAGCGAGCCCCTGTTTCAAGAAGTAAAAGGAGAAAAAAGAAAAACAAAGCTATGTGAATTTGTAAAAACAATAATGTGGATGTAACTTCCTGACCCACAGACTCCTTGAGCATAATACAATGATCATTCTGAAGCTGCTAAATGTATGGGTATTCTCAGTAACAGTCACCAAAACAATGATATCTGACAGAGTATTCAGCCTTTGTAACTCATTGTTTCTAAATGCTGGATACTTTTCCATTCTAGAGCTACGCTACAATTTGTCCAACCAACCATTCACCTATGCTCATACATGTACGTTTCCGGATTTTATTCTTCACTGATTCAATAAATGTGTGTTAAGGATCCGCTATGTGCCAGGCAGGAGAGAGGGGCCAGGTGCTGGGAATCTCCGGTAAACAAAGCAGGCTTTGTTCTAAAACCCTATGTTCCAATGAAAGAGACAGACACTTAAGAAAGTAAACAACCAAATAACTATATAATTACAAACTGTGATAAGTACCATGGAGGGAAACAAAACTTCTAAGAATCTCTAATATGGTGCCACATTGGAAAATTATCAGGATTATGATAATAATAATAAGCATTGCAGGGAATGAAACAGGCAATTAGAAGCTCTAGGGAGAGAAAAATGCTGTATGAGGAAGGAAATATAATCAGAGTACAAATTTATCTTTGCAGTGAACAATATTTACATAGTCCTAATGATTTAACTAAATGCAAAATCACAGTTTTGGGATGATGGAAAGGAAGTGGTAAGATCAGTGAAAGACAGTAGATGTTTAAAATGGATAAATCAAAAACAGCAACAGTAACATGTTATTTAGAGAAACTGAGTTAAATACCCAGAGAAACCATGAAAAGTGGTTACTTCTGAGGACAAGGTCGGAGGTTGGGAAATAACTGAATGGTGAAACTGATGTTTCTCATTCATTCATTCAACACGTATTTACTGATCTCCTTTGGTGCCAGGTCCTGTTCTAGGCACTAGGGACACAGAAGTAAATAAAACAGCCAAAAAATGCAGTTTATATTTTAGAAGGGGAATTGAAAAATAAAATAAGTAAAATCCATACTGTGCTACATTGTGGTTGGGATGAAGCAAGAGAGAAGGTTGGGATGAAGGGGAGGGGTTTAGATAGATGGGCCGGAGATGGCATCACTGAGTAAGTGACATTTGAGTGAAGACACGAAAGAGGCAAAGAAGAGAGCCACGTGGATGTCTGGGAGAAGAGCATTCAGATACAAGGAGCAGCAAGTGCAAAGGCCTCTAGGTAGGAGTGGTCCTGCTGGGTTGGAGGAACAGTGAGGAGGCCTAGCTACACTGCAGTGGGCCAAGGGAGAGAGGCAGGAGATGAGGTTAGGGAAGTGACTGGCAGTCAGATCAGGGGAGGCCCTGTGGCCCATGCACCTTCTGGGAATAGTTGACTCTTTTCCCTGTATTTGCATTATACATGCATACATATCTATAAATATGTGTGTATGTGTGTGCACACACACACACACATATATATAGATGACTTTGATTTAAATTTTAAAATATTATTATTATTATTATTATTATTATTTTTGAGACAGAGTCTCACTCTGTCGCCCAGGCTGGAGTGCAGTGGCCTGATCTCGGCTCACTGTAACCTCCACCTTCCAGGTTGAAGCGATTCTCCTGTCTCAGCCTCCCGAGTAGCTGGGATTACAGGCATGCGCTACCACACGTGGCTAATTTTTTTGTATTTTTAGTAGAGACCGGGTTTTGCCACGTTGGCCAGTCTGTTTTCGAACTCCTGGCCTCAGGTGATCCGCCCACCTCGGCCTCCCAAAGTGCTGGGATTACAGGTGTGAGCCACTGCAACCGACATTAAAAATGTATTTTAAAGAAATAACTCGGCTATGGAGTAGATTAGCAGGAACAAGTCTGGAAGTGGGGACCCCCAGCAGAAGACTATGATGCAGTTCAAGTGAGTAATGCTGGTGGCTTGGATAGGGTGTTGGCAGTGGAGATGGAAAAATTAACTGGTTTGAGATTTATTTGGGAGGTAGGATTGAGAGGTCTTATTGACGGCTGGAGGGGTCAGAAATGTTGTTGGTTTGAAGAATGGCCCCCAAGTGTCTGGCTTGAACAGCGTGTGCCATTTACCAATACAAAGGAGAGAAAGTGTTCAGACATTGACATGTGAAGTGTGACAACCCCCTGGGACCCCTCAGGGAAAACTTCAAGAGGCCTAGCTGGAACTTCATACAATGCTGATAGGAATGCAAATGGTGCAGCTGCGGTGAAACAGTCTGGCACCTCCTCTGAAGTGAACCATATGGGCCAGCAACTGCATTCCTGGGTGTGTACGCAGGAGAATCCAAAGCATGTTCACAAGAAAACTGGTGTATGCAGGCCAGGCGCAGTGGCTCACGCCTGTAATCCCAGCACTTTGGGAGGCTGAGGCAAGCAGATCATTTGAGGTCAGGGGTTCGAGATCAGCCTGGCCAACATGGTGAAATGCTGTCTCTACTAAAAATACAAAAATTAGCTGGGTGTGGTGGCACAGGCCTCTAATCCCAGCTACTCAGTAGGCTGAGGTAGGAGAATCGCTTGAACCTGGGAGACAGATGGTTGCAGTGAGCCGAGATCACACCGCTGTACCCCAGCCTGGGGGACACAGCGAGACTCTGTCTCAAACATATATATATATGTGTGTGTGTGTGTGTGTGTGTGTGTGTGTGTATATATGTGTATATATGTATATGTGTATATATTTATGAATGAATAAACTGATGCATGAATGTTCATAGCAACATTATTCATAAAAGCCCAAAAGTGGAAACAGCCCACTGTTCATCTACTGATGAATGAATGGATGGACAAAACATGGTATCCAACAAAATTGTTTTTAAACATAAAGAATGAAGTACTGATACATCCTACAACATGGATGCACTTCAAAAACATTATGCTAAATGAAATAACATGCACAAAGGGCTACATATTGTATGATTCCACTTATAGAAAATGTCCAGAATAGGCAGATCTATAGAGGCAGAAAATAGAGTCCTGATTGCCAGGGGCTGGGAATGGGGGAATGGGGAGCGACTGCTCATGGGTTTCTTTTTTGGGTGGTGAAAATGTTCTGGAATTATCTAGTGGTGATGGTTGCACAGCCTTGGGAACATACAAAAAACCACCAAATTATGCACATTATTTATTTGTTTATTTTTGAGATGGAGTCTCACTCTGTTGCCCAGGCTGGAGTGCAGTGGTGTGATCTTGGTTCACTGCAATCTCCACCTCCCAGGTTCAAGCCATTCTCCTGCCTCAGCCTCCCCAGTAGCTGGGACTATAGGCACCCGCCACTGTGCCCGGCTTATTTTTGCATTTTTAGTAGAGACAGGGTTTCACCATGTTGGCCAGGCTGGTTTCGAACTCCTGACTTCAGCTGATCCACCCACCTTGGCCTCCCAAAGTGCTGGGATTACAGGCATGAGCCACCATGCCCAGCCCTGAATTATGCACTTTAAAATGATGAATTTTATGGTAAGTGATTTGTATCTCAGAAAAAAAAAAAAAAGGCAACTGGCTGTGAGAAGCTGGACCATTGACAGATCAGGCCTGGAGACTTGACCATGGGAGAGTCAGCGCGGAGGTGGCTTAAAACCAAGGGAGTGGAGAGTCACACCATGACAGCAGCATAAGGTGAGAACTGGGAAAGCCTAGTGCCCAGGGAGACACTCACATTTAGAGTGTGGTGACAGAGGAGGAGCCAGGAAGAGACAAGAAATCAGGAGAGTGTGGAGGGCTGGGCATGGGGGCTCACGCCTGTAATCCCAGCACTTTGGGAGGCTGAGGCGGTGGATCACCTGAGGTCAGGAGTTCGAGACCAGCCTGACCAACACCGTGAAACCCCATCCCTACTAAAAAAACAAAAAGTAGCTGGGTGTGGTGACATGCGCCTGTAATCCCAGCTATTCGGGAGGCTGAGGCAGGAGAATCACTTCAGCCCAGGAGGCAGAGGTTGCAGTGAGCCGAGATTGTACCACTGTACTCCAGCCTGGCAGCCTGGGCGACAGAGCGAGACACTATCTCAAAAAAAAAAAAAAAAAAAAAAAAGAGCATGCGCCACAGGCTGCAGGAGTTTCTACAGGCAAGGCTGTTCCAAAACATGTTGCACTGAACAGTGCTCCTTGTGCATGAACCTTCATGCATTGCTAATAGGATCAATCCTAGAGGTGGAACTCCTGGGTCAAAGGGCAAGGGCACTTTGGATAGATCCTGCAAATTTTCACTCATCCACATTGCAACTGTTCTGGATTGTGAGTGAGAGGGCCAAGATGCCTGCCACGTGGAGAGAGGACCAGAGCCAGCTCAGCATCCCGGGAAAACAAGGCAAGGTGTGGATTGCCAGGCATGACCTGGCAGAGCTGATCAGCTGATGGGCACAGCATGTGGCCAGAGTAACTGAGAGACTTCAGCAGAACCCAAGAAGACAAGGGATTCGTACCGTGGGAACAGAGCAGACTGCTCCGAGGGCCTGGGAAATGTTTGCTGAATTAACAAAGCAGCAAGAGAAACACAATTGCAGGGAAAGAGTCTTCATTCCAGAATCCCAGGTGGCCACGATGCTGCTGTGTGACCCCAGGTGAGTCACCTCGCCAACCTTCAGACAGTTCGTCTGTCAAACTGAAGGTCCGTACAGCATTTCTGGCCAGGATCCTTTCCACTTTAGAACTCCATGGTTCCTGCTTGAAAATAGGAGTGAAACTTCCTTTTAACACCAACTACCAAAATCAGGACAGTTTCTTTTTTGAAGTTTTGTTCCTATGGTGGTTTCTCCATTCTCTGCAAGGGGCCAAGAGGTCATGATTTTAAGCAAGCATTGACCAAAACAGCTCAGTTCAATTTAGCAAGCATTTACGGAGTGTCCCAGGTGAAAGCCACCACCATCACCATCACCTCTTGCTGATTAGAACAGCTTCCTAGCCAGTTTCCCAGCCACTACCTTGCACCACTGCAGTTTATTCTCAACACAGCAAGCCACAGCCAGGCATGGTGGCTCACGCCTGTAATCCCAGCACTTTGGGAGGTCAAGGTGGGCAGATCACTTCAGGCCAGAAGTTCGAGAACAGCCTGGCCAACATGGCGAAACCCCGTCTCTACTAAAAATACAAAAATTAGTCATGTGTGCTGGTGGGCACCTGTAGTCCCAGCTACTCAGGAGGCTGAGGCACGAGAATCACTTGATTCTGGCAGGCAGAGGTTACGGTGAGCCGAGATCATGCCACCGCACTCCAGCCTGGGCAACAGAGTGAGACTCTGTGTCAAAAACACACACACAAAAAAAACACAGCAAATCACCCCAAGCAAAAGGCAAAGTCTACGATGGCCTACAAGGATCTGCAGGATCTTGCACCTCAACAGGGTCTGCATTCCACCATGCACACACACACACACACACACACACACACACACACACACACACACACACTCCCTCCCACCCTCCTGCCTCTGGGCCTTTGCACAGCCTGACCCCTTGCTCCCTCGCCTCATTAAGGTCTCTGTTCAGAAGAAACCTCATCAGAGATTTCCCAGACCTCCTTATACAAAATAGCACCCCAGCTCATCACTCTCAATGTGCCTATCCTGCTTGGTTTTCTTCATAGCATTTATCACCAGCTTTACGTTATATATTTATGTGTTTATGGCCTATTCCCCACCACTACCACACTGTGAGCTTCCTGAGAATAGAAACTGTTGCCTCCGCTAGTCCTGGAGCAGCATCCGTAGAGAACAAGCATTCCAGACATCTTTGGGGAGAATGAATGAACCCTCACACAAGCCCCAGCCATAGGAGTCAGTACCAGGTGCCTGCTGAGTGGATACAGCAATGAATAAATCTAGGTTCCTAAGTTAAGCTCTTGGCTTTTTTGCAGGGTTTGGCATCTCTCCAAACCTGAGCTTTCCTGTGTGAATCTAAGGGTTAGCAAGCCTGGGACACGCTCCAAGAGGGTAGGAACTGCCTTCTATTCACTGCTGATCCCAGAAAGAGCGCTCAGAAGGGCTCACTACTCAAGAACGAAGGTGTGGGCCCAGTGAGACAGACTGTATTCTTCACACAAGAGCAAGAGAGAGATGCTTCTGCCTCAGTCTAGGAAGCCGAGATTCGGTGAGGGAGAAATGGGGATTGAGTCTTGTCACCGTGAAGGTCCCCAGGTGGGAGGCTCTGTGACCTGTACCTAAAGCCCTGCATTATTTAAGACTTTAGAAGACTCGGTCTGGTGGTTACAATCCCTGACAGTAGGGCAGCCCTGCCCTCTGGTGGCCACCCGGTGCAGTACCATCACGGGAAACGGAATTTTTTTTCATTTTACAAGTTCCTTAATTCCCTTAAAGACATCCTGGGAGACATATAATACAGGAATACAAAGTAATCCCGTTACCTTGATACCCTTGCTGCCACGGGAGCTTTCACTCTTATGCCTATTTTAAACCTAGTTCACTGATCCAATGAAGTGTTTACCAAGCGCCTACTGTCTCAGGCAATGGCCGTGAACAAAACAATTAAAAATCACTGGTTTGCGGGGCGTGGTGGCTCACGCCTGTAATCCCAGCACTTTGGGAGGCCGAGGCAGGCGGATCACCTGAGGTCTGGAGTTTGAGACCAGCCTGGCCAACATGGCGAAACCCCGTCTCTTCTAAAATTACAAAAATTAGCCGGATGTGGTGGCACGCACCTGTAATCCCAGCTACCTGGGAGGCTGAGGCAGGAGAATCACTTGAACCTGGGAGGCAGAGGTTGCAGTGAGCCGAGATCGTGCCATTGCAGTCCAGTCTGGGCAACAAGAGCGAAACTCCATCTCAAAAAAAAAAAAAAAAAAAAAGAAGAAGAAGAAGTTTTCAGCTTGCTTGTAACCCCAGCACTTTGGGAGGCCGAGGCGGGTGGATCACCTGAGGTCAGGAGTTCGAGACCAGCCTGACCAATCTGGTGAAACCTCATCTCTACTAAAAATACAAAAATTTGCCACTGCACTCCAGCCTGGGCAACAGAGCAAGACTCCATCTCAAAAAAACAAAACAAAACAAAACAAAACAATGAAGCTTTCAGCTTTCAGTCTCTTTATTGGCAGGAGTGAGGGAAGCTGGCTGAGAGGTCTGCCAGCCAGATGAGTTTTCACTGTCCCCAAGTCCAGGATGCCAGGAAGCCCCCAGGCCAGAAAACAGGGCATGCAACTTCCATTCCCAATACTGTGAATTTACTCAACAGCTGGGGAGACAGTGAGGAAGACAGGCAGGCCAGGTGCAGTGGGGCATGTCTGTAATCCCCAGCCCTTTGGGAGTGCCGAGGCAGGAGGATTACTCGAGACTAGCCTGGGCAACATAGTGAGACTCCCATCTCTACAAAAATGTTTTAAAAAATTAGTCAGGCATGTTGGTGCATGACTGCTACCAGCTACTCGGGAGGCTGGGGCAGGAGATCGCTTGAGCCCAGGAGGTCAAGGCTGCAGGGAACCATGATTGCGCCAATGCCCTGCAGCCTGGGCTACAAAGCGAGACCCTGTCAAAGAAAAAAAAAAAAGAAAGAAGAAGGAAGAAAGAGGAAAGAAGAAGAAGAGAAGGAAGGAGAGGAAGAGAAAGAAGGAAGGAGACAGGCAGAGTCCTGTGCCCTCTTGGAGTACAGGCTGTGGAGAGGCAGCATGGAAAACGTGACCACAGGAATGATTGTCATCACATTGTTGTACAGGAGCCCCGGCTCAATCCCGGATCCACTTCCCTGAGGAAGTCTTCTTTATGCTAAGAACTCAGGGGTTCAGAGGAGCCATCTGGCCCGGCAGTGAGAGAGCGCTGTGTGAGCACCTGGAGCACACAGAACAGAGGAGGAAGGGGAGAAGGGGAGCGGGCCAGACCTCACAGGACTTTGTCAGCCGGTTGGGAAGTGTGGGAGATCCTTGCAGGAACAGGAAGCCACTGAAGGGGCAGAGCACTTTTGAGCGCGACTGGCCTTTTAGAAAAGTCCCCTGTAACGACACTACCAGTTAGAAAATACACTAACTGGAAGAAAAGAGTCCATTCATAAGAGCAACACAAAGAACAAACTGTTTAGAAATTGATTTATCAAGGAGTATGTAAAACATTTCTAAAGAAAAGTTGTAAACTTTACTGAGGGACATAAAACAAGACTTGAATAAATGGAAAGACAGATTTTGTTTTAAACAAAAGTCAGTATTGTGGAAATGTTAAGCCTCTTTAAATTTACCTATATATTTGCCAGATACATAAAACCCAAATCTTAGGGCCCGTGCTGTCTCCTTTCCCAATTCCCAGGACTTTCCCTCTGCAGCACTTATGACAATATGATTAAATGACTTTTATAATGATGTGTTTCATGCTGCCTTCCCACTAGACCCATAAAATAACACGAAAATTCATCTGGAAAATATATTAAGTGCAGATAGCCAGTAAATCTCTAAAAAGTAACCCTACCACATAGTAAAAATACATTAGAAACCTGGAAGAAATAAAGCAATTTGGCACACGTACAAGAACAGGCAGTAAGATCAACAGAACACAACAGAGACACTAAAAGAGACCCAAGTATATGTGGAAATTTAGAATATGATAAAGGCAAAACGACACCAGTCGGGAAAATGGATTATTCAGTAAATAGTACTGGGGAAATGGCTGGCCACCTAGAAAACAATTACATGTGGAGCCACACCTTTCTCCTTGATATCAAAATAAATTGCAGGTAGACCAAAAACGTAAATGTACAAGTGGAATCATCAGCACATGAGAACAAAACATGACTCTATTCTTAATTTGAGTCTAAAAAATATAAAACTCCTTATGACAAAAATACTTAAAGATTAGTTGGGGGAAACATTTGCAACAATATGAGAGTCCATGTGCCAGTTTCCTCAACTACAAAGAATGCTTAGAAATCAATAAACCAGGCCGGGCACCGTGGCTCATGCCTGTAATCCCAGCTACTTCGGAGGCTGAGGCAGGAAAATCGCTTGAACCCGGGAGGCAGAGGTTGCAGTGAGCTGAGATCCCACCATTGCACTCCAGCCTGGGCAACAAGAGGGGAACTCCATCTAAAAAAAAAAGAAGAAGAAGAAATCAATAAACTGGCCAGGCGCGGTGGCTCACACCTGTAATCCCAGAACTTAGGGAGGCCAAGGCAGGAGGATCACTTGAGGTCAGGAGTTGGAAACCAGCCTGGCCACTATGGCAAAACTCCGTCTCTACTAAGAACACAAAAATTAGCCAGCCATGGTGGCGGGCACCTGTAACCCCAGCTACTCAGAAGGCTGAGGCAGGAGAATTACTTGAACTCAGGAGGTGGAGGTTGCAGTGAACCGAGATCATCGTGCCACTGCACTCCAGCCTGGGTGACAGAGCAAGACTCCATCTAAGAAAAGAAAAGAAAAAAGAAAAGAAAAGAAAAGAAATCAATAAACCACAGATAAAGAACCCAGTAGAAAGAAGAAGCAAGAGAACACACAGCAGAAAAAGATTCATGCGTGTAAGAGATATGTCAAATGCTCCACTTCACTCACTCATAATTTTGTTTGTTTGTTTGTTTTGGAGTTTCACTCTGTCACCCAGGCTGGAGTGCAGTGGTGCAATCTCGGCTCACTGCAACCTCCGCCACCTGGGTTCAAGTGAATCTCCTGCCTCAGCCTCCTGAGTAGCTGGGATTACAGGCGCCCACCACCATGCCTGGCTAATTTTTTTTTGTATTTTTAGTAGAGACAGTGTTTCATCATGTTGGCCAGGCTGGTCTCGAACTCCTGACCTCAAGTGATTCACCTGCCTCGGCCTCCCAAAGTGCTGGGATTATAGGCATGAGCCACTGCGCCTGGCCTCATAATTTTTAAAAGACAAATGAAGGTAAGATACCATTTTTCACCTATCAGATGGGGAAGCATTTTTAAGAGTGAGGAGAAAGATTGGATTATTTATGGAAATGGAAATCAGCAGAGCCATCGTGAAAGGCAATTTGCACTAGCTATCAACATTTTAAGCGCGCATATCCAGAAGCCAGCAATTCCACATCTAAGGATTGATTTCACTGCAGCATTATCTGTAAGAGCAAAACACTGGGAAACAAGGACGGCAGTCCTCAGGCGTGTTAACACGAACAGAGCCCCAGCGGGTACTTTCAAGGGAAAAATACATGGTGCCAAAGTCTCATCATTTGATTTTTAAGGTTACATACATACACACCTATATAACGATACACATGCAATTACATATACACACACGTAGAAAATCATTTATATACTTTGAAAAAAATTGGAAGAGTTACAGAAGAAACAAGTTGCTCTGAGAAGCAGGCCTGGAGGTTGGGGATGAGGGCAAAGGGGAGTCTGTCTTTGACTTTCACCTAAAATCCTCCTTTAGTATTTGAGTTATTGCCATAAGAAGGTACTGCTTTTGAGGCCAGGTGCGTGGCTCACACCTGTATTCCCAGAACTTTGGGAGGCTGAGGCGGGTGGATCACCTGAGGTTAGGAGTTCAAGACCAACCTGGCCAACATGGCAAAACCCCGTCTCTACTAAAAATACAAAAATTAGCCAGGTGTGGTGATGCGCACCTGTAATACCAGCCACTCGGGAAGCTGAGGCAGGAGAATCGCTTGAACCTGGGAGTCGGAGGTTGCAGTGAGACGAGATTGCACCACTGCACTCCAGCCTGGGTGGCAGAGTGAGACTGTCTCAAAAAAAGAAGGTATTGCTTTTGAGGTTTTTTATTTTATATTTTTTTTAATCATTGTTTGTTTGCTTGCTTTTTGAGACAGGGTCTTACTCTGTTGCCCGGGCTGGAGTACCGTGGTGCAATTATAGCTCACTGCAGCCTGTATCTCCCAGGCTCAAGCAATCCTCCCACCTCAGCCTCCTGGGTAGCTGGGACTACAGGCCCTTGCCACCACACCTGGCTAATTGTTTTTGTTTGTTTGTTTTTTCAGTAGAGATAAGGTCTCGCGATGTTGCCCAGGCTGGTCTCAGGCTCCTGGGCTCAAGGGATCCTCCTTCCTTGGCCTCCCAAAGTGCTGGGATTACAGACCTGAGCCACCACACCCCACCTACTTTTTGTAATAGTATCAAAAGTCGCCGCCACTGCTGCTGCTACTGCTTTCAGATCATACAGACTGCAGTGGCCTGAACTGACCACAGGGGCCTAAGTGAGTTGTGGAGAGATCTGTGGCCATCCAGGTACGAAATGATGTGGCTGGAACAGTGGCACTCTTAGCTGAAAAGAAACAAATGGATTCCAGATTTACTTAAAAAGCAAAACTGACAGGAGGGATAGCGAGAACAGAACTATTCTCTGTTCCCACTGCCACTCTCCCATCCCACCTTTCTGCCCCATGACAAATGACATCCCATAAGACCTCAGTCTCAGAATCAAGGCTCCCATGGGGCTAACGCAGGGCAAGGCACAGAGCCAGAGTCTGGGGAAGCCTCAGAGATGACAGAGGGGTTTGGGCCTCTGCCCACCAACCACCACTACCCACCCTCCTGGGCACAGGGCTAGCACAGTCAGGAGCCTGCGTGGCACTTGCTGAATAAGGACTTGAATGGGTGCCTTCTAACTATAACTCCTTGGTTCATGTGACATTGGGAAGATCTGTGGGCGGGGCCCCTTCCCGTCAGGCTCACCACCCGCTGTGCACACCTTCACTCTCCCCCTGCCCTGGTCCCTCTCCAGTGGGGAGCACCAACAGATTCTCCTGGCTGGGCAGACAGGCCCAGAAGGAAGGCTGCTCGGACCCCTGCCTGTACCCTGAGACCTGGCCCCCAGCCTCCTGGGCTGGCCCTGAACCTCCACATCCCGCCCTGAACCTCCACATCCCGCCCTGCCATTCACATCTCCTGTTACAGGACATGATGCTCCCCTAGCCCACCCCACGGCCCTTCCCACTGGGGACCCCCTTTTTAAGATTCTGCCTCCCTCTAGCCCTCACCACCTGCAGGTCCCAAGCCCAATGAGCAGGAGCCACAAATCTGTCCCAGAATCACCAGGAAAATCGGTGTGGCTTCTCAGAGGAGGTAGCATCTGAGTTGGGCCTTGAAACATGGAGAGGAATGAGCCTCTGCCAGATAAAAGAGGAAAGAGGATGTGGCTTTGCCCGGGTATTCCAGACCCAGCAAGGGTGGGACTGAAGGCTTGATGTGGCTGCGTTAGAGGCGGCCAGACTAAATGCTCTATCTAGGGCGTTACAGCCGGAAGAGTGGCCGCATACCTCGCTGGCCCCCGTGTTCCTTCCTGAGCTGCTGCTCACACAGGTGTGTGGTGGTCAAGTACACGTGGTCTGCTTCTCCACCAGACCCGGAATTCCTCAAAGAAGGGCTATGGCCTTCAACTCTTCAACATATATGTTTGTATATGTATATATATGCAATTGTGGTGGTCACACAACTGTAAACATCAGTCAAAATGCACTGAGTTCAATACTTAAAATTGGGGAATGTCACTGTTTGTGAATTATGCCTCAGTAAAAAGCATGCTTTAGAGTCTCTGGGTGTCCAGGTTCACCAGGCACTTTCACATAGATTATCTCCAGCAGCCCAAACAACAGCCCCATTTCACAGATGGAGAAACTGAGGCCAGTGACTTGCCCACATCCCATAGTGGCAGACCTGGGCCCCTCCTTCAGAGCTTGTTGCTCACAGGATATGGGCCTGAGGGATTTTTTTTTTTTTTTTTTTTTTTTTGAGACAGAGTCTCGCTCTGTTGCCCAGGCTGGAGTGCAGTGGCACGATCTTGGTTCACTGCAACCTCCACCTCCCAGGTTCAAGCTATTCTTGTGCCTCAGCCTCTCCAAGTAGGTGGGATTACAGGTGTGTGCCACCATGCCTGGCTAATTTTTTGTATTAGCCAGGGTTTTGCCATGTTGGGCAGGCTGGTCTTGAACTCCTGGCCTCAAGTGAGGCCTCTCAAAGTGCTGGAAGTACAGGCGTGAGCCACTGTGCCCGGCCCGTGAGGGACTTTTGAGAGGACAGGAGCCAGCCATGGCTGGAATAATCCAATGTACAGAGTCTACCTGGTGCGGCTGTTGCTGTCTTGCCCTCGGGGAGTTCAGCCCCTGTAAGAGAGGTTCAGTGGTTCGGTTCTGCTCAGGGGGTTCCTCAGGCCAGTCTGGGAGACACTGGGTGACACTCACATTCCTGCACCCCCTAGTCCTGGCCCCAGTTCACACAGACCACTCGCTGTCATTGGGTAGGTATTAGGGTTCTGAGTCAGATGTCCTCCAAAGAAGGGGTTCTACCACAAATTGAGTTGCCAGATTTAGCAAATAAAAATACAGGCCAGGCCAGGAGTGGTGGCTCATGCCTGGAATCCCAGCACTTTGGGAGACCAAGGCAGGAGAATCACTTGAGCCCAGGAGTTCGAGACCAGCTTGGGCAAAATAGCGAGACGCCCCCCAGCTCTACAAAAAATACAAACATTAGCTGAGTGTAGTGGTGTACATCTATTCTGGAGGCTGAGGCAGGAAGATCTCTTGAGTCCAGGAGTTGGAGGCTGCAGTGAACTATGATTGTGCCACTGCACCCCAGCCTGGGCAACAAAGCAAGTCCTTGTCGCAAAAAACAAACAAACAAACAAACAAAAAACCAGGACAAAACGTTGGAGACATTCTGATACTAAATAGGACATCCTAAACAGGATAGATGTATACTAAAAATGTATCTGTTGCTTATCTGAAATTTGAATTTAACTGGACCTCCTACATTTAACCTGGCAATCCAAACTGAAAAAAAAAACCACCTAAAATTAAAATTAAATTAACAAAATTTAAATTTAATGAAATTAATAAAATTTAAAACAAAACTAAAATGAAAGAAAAAGTAAAATAAAAAAAATTTTTTAAATGAGTTAAATTAAATGAAACGAGAATAAAATCCCAAAAGAGGTGAACACTGCACAAGCGCGCACGCCTGCGCCGAGCGCCCGTGGCCCAGCAAGATGGCGAGGCCGCGCCTTCCCCACCCAGGCGTGGGGTCCTCGGGCCTCTGCGCGGCGCTCGCCCGGGACTGGGACGCAGAGCCGCGGACGGCTTTGGGGACGCCAGGGCTCCGGACTTCCCCGGCGGCGCCTCACGGGCGGCAATCGCCCGCGAGCCTTGGGGCGCGGCACCCAGGGCCTCCCCACCGGGCTCCGAGGGACGCAGCGGCCTCGCCACCGCATTAGGCCGAATCCGGTGCCTTCTAGAAATGGCCTCCTGCAGCTCCAGAGCGCCTGCAGGGTGAGCAGAGGCTGCTCTGTTTTCAAGAAAGCCGCGCGCCCTCATGGCCCCGCAGGGCCCCTCACGGCCTCTGCTGCTCTGGGGAGAAGGTAGCCGGCGCCACCGAGTCCCAGGAGGTCCCCGGACGCCCGCCCGGGCCCCGTGGGAGGGTGACGCCCGTGACAGCTCCTCTAGCTGCACTCTGCTGCCTCTGTCATTCTGCCACTCAAATCTCTGGCCTGACACTGTGCAGGCGGAAACAAGTGGGGGGCCCCTAGGTTTTCCCCCACAAATCTGAATGCTGAAAGGCGCGCCAGAGAACTTTTGCTCACTTGGGGAAAAGCCGATCTGTACCTTAGAAAGGGCAATAATAAGGATATAATATTAAATTAATAATACCTAATACAGTCATAAAGGTCCAGAACCTTATGCCCAGGCACCCCACTCCCTGGGAATGTATCCTAATGAAATAATTCAAAGGAATAACCGTGCCCTAGGCATAATCATGTTCATTATGGCATTATTAGTGTGAGCTAAAAATTGAAAACAACCTCGCCACCTAGCAAGGGAGAATGGTTAAGGGAACGGTTTTACACCCACTAGATGGAATGCCGTGTAGCCAGTAAGTGATTATTGCAAGGTCTGTAGAAACACGGGGAAATGTTTATAATGTAATCTTAATGAAAAATGGTTTAACATGAAATGGTAAATTCTCATGGATCTCAACTCCTTCAGAATTGCTTTTTCTTTTAATCGAAAATGTTATATAGATACTTGCAGATTCACATGCAGTTATAAGAAAATATAGGCCGGGCGCGGTGGCTCACGCCTGTAATCCCAACACTTTGAGAGGCCGAGGCGGGCAGATCATGAGGTCAAGAGATTGAGACCATCCTGGCCAACATGGTGAAACTCCGTCTTTACTAAAAATACAACAATTAGCCGGGCATGTGGCATGTGCCTGTAGTCCCAGCTACTCGAGAGGCTGAGGCAGGAGAATCGCTTGAACCCGGGAGGCAGAAGTTACAGTGAGCCAAGATCGGGCCGCGGCACTCCAGCCTGGTGACAGAGTGAGACTCCGTCTCAAGAAAAAAAAAAAAAAAAAGAAATGATACAGAGATCCCACCTCTACCCAGTTTTCCCCAATGGTAACATCTTGCAGAACTATAGTACAATATCACAACCAGCATATTGACAGGGATGTAACCTGCTGATCTAATGCAGATTTCCCAAATGTTACTTATACTTGTGTGTTTTGTTCTATACAGTGTTATCACAATTGTAAATTACAATTTTACTAGAGCTGGGTTTTTTTTTCTTTTTCTTTTTTTCTTTTGAGACAGAGTTTCACTCTTGTTGCCCAGGCTGGAGTGCAATGGTGCGCTCTCGGCTCACTGCAACCCCCACCTCCCGGGTTCAAGCAATTCTCCTGCCTCAGCCTCCTAAGTAGCTGGGATTATAGGCGTGTGCCACCACACCTGGCTAATTTTGTATTTTTAGTAGAGACAGGGTTTCACCATGTTGGCCAGGCTGGTCTCAAACTCCTGACCTCAGGTGATCTACCCACCTCGGCCTCCCAAAGTATTGGGATTACAGGCGTGAGCCACCACTCCCGGCCTAGAGCTGTTTTTTAAAGCACACGTGTGCATATGTAGAAATGTGTTATATAAATGGTGGTATTTGAAAGATTTTCTTTTCTTTTCTTTCTTTTTTTTTTTTTTTTGAGACACAGTCTCGCTCTGTCGCCCAGGCTGGAGTGCAGTGGCACAATCTCGGCTTACTGCAAGCTCCGCCTCCCGGGTTCACGCCATTCTCCTGCCTCAGCCTCCCAAGTAGCTGGGACTACAGGCACCCGCCACCACGCCCGGCTATTTTTTTTAATTTTTTTTAGTAGCAATAGGGTTGCACCGTGTTAGCCAGGATGGTCTCGATCTCCTGACCTCGTGATCCACCTGCCTCGGCCTCCTAAAGTGCTGGGATTACAGGCGTGAGCCACTGTGCCCAGCCGAGAGATTTTAGTTTAAATATTTATCTTTAATGCTGCTATGTCATCTTATCAATTAAAAGAGGGGAAGGCCAGGTGCGGTGGCTCAGGCCTATAATCCCAACACTCTGGGAGGCCGAGACAGGAATTTGAGACCAGCCTGACCAACATGGTGAAACCCCATCTCTACTAAAAATATACAAAAATTCTCTGGACATGGTGGCGCGTGCCTGTAATTCCAGCTACTCAGGAGGCGGAAGCAGGATAATCGCTTGAACCTGGGAGGCAGAGGTTGCAGTGAGCCAAGATCGCGCCATTGCACTCCAGCGTGGGCAACAGAGCGGGACTCCGTCTCAAAAAATAATAAATAAAAAGAGGGGATAAGTTGAGCTAGAAAAGGCAGGTGAAAGAAAGGAGAGAATGGTGGGCCAGGATGGCAGAAGGCAGAGATGCCGCCTAGCCTTGCCAGGACTAGCCATACCGTCTTGAGCAAATCAACGAACATTCTTTGAACTGCAGTTTCTCAACAGTCAAGCGGGGATAATTTCCCCTGCCGTATCTACCTAGCAAGGTTACTATGAGGTCCTTTTTGCCAAACTCAGGTAACATCCTCCAGGCCCTCCCTGAGCACAGTCAGCTGACAAACACACTGAAAAAGTGAACCCTCCGGGGGGTCCCTTGATCTTTTGTGGTCTCACCACTCACAGACCAGCTACTACCAAAAAGGGAAGTCTCTCCACCAGGCAGGGAGGAGACGTCACAAGGGGCTTCCCAAACATTTCCCGCTGCAAGAGGCCTGGTCTTTGGAAGTGGACCATCAGGCTCAGAAACAGGTTCCCTGGGGCAGCCAGAGGAAAATGCAATCAGACAGGAAAGGAGCAAATAACGCAGTGCCCCTGGGGTTCCCTTGGCTCTCCCAGAGAAAAACAGTCAGCCTGACTTGGGTTTCCCTCCAGTGGACCAGCTGAGGTCACTCCACAGACATCCTGGGCTCCTCCCAGGCCTCTTCTCCTTCCAGATACGTCCTGGGCTGCTTGTGTGAAAGGGTTCCAGTTCCCACACTGTCCTCTCCACCAGGGAGAAAAGCTGAAGCCATGATCCTGAAGGTGTTCAACTCAAGATGCTTTCTATTTTAACTCGAACTCTTGAGATGCCTTGTTTTCCAGAGCTCCAGGACCACCGTCCACCAGCTGTACTGCTGACCTTTGCTGTGGTTGGCTTTGCTGTCCTCTCAGCCTAAGACGCCCTTGGCCTTCTCTGTCCTGTGAACTCCCACCCCATCCTTTAAGGCAGGGAATGGTACACTTTTTCTGTAAAGGCCTAGATAGTAAATATATTAAGCTTTGTGTATAGTCTCTGTCACAACGATCCATAGAATGAGCATGGCTGTATTCCCACTACATTTTATTTACGGACATTTTAGTCTTTTTCTTCTTTTTGAGATGGGGGTCTCACTATGTTGCCCAGGCTGGTCTCAAACTCCTGGATTCAAGCGATCCTCCAGCCTTGGCCTCCTACATAGCTGGACTATACATACACACCACCATACCCAGTGTGGACACTTATAACCGGGCTCAACTGTAAATCCCTAAGATATAGATTGAAGTCCTGTAGCTGTGAATGTGACCTTATTTGGAAATAGGGTCTTTGCAGATGTAATCAGGTTAAGATGAGGTCACTGGGGTGGGCCGTAATCCAATAGAACTGGTGTCTATATAAGAGGGAGATGGGCCGAGCATAGTGGCTCACTTCTGTAGTCTCAGCTATTGGGAGTCTGATGGGGGAGGAGCCTGGGAGATGGAGGCTGCAGTGAGCCGTGATTGCACCACTGCACATCAGCCTGAGCAACAGAGCGGGAACTTGTCTCCAAAAAAATAAATAAATAGTCTGGGGCTCGGTGGCTCACGCCTGTAATCCCAGCACTTTGGGAGGCCGAGGCGGGTGGATCACGAGGTCAGGAGATCGAGACCATCCTGGCTAACATGGTGAAACCCCGTCTCCACTAAAAAAAAATACAAAAAATTAGCCGGGCTTGGTGGCAGGCGCCTGTAGTCCCAGCTACTCGGGAGGCTGAGGCAGGAGAATGGAGTGAACCCAGGAGGTGGAGCTTGCAGTGAGCCGAGATCGCGCCACTGCACTCCAGCCTGGGCGACAGAGCAAGACTCTGTCTCAAAATAAATAAATAAATAAATAAATAAATAAATAAATAAATAAATAAAAATAACAGAGGGAAATGTGGATACCCATAAAAAGGAGAACGCCATACGAGGACGCAGACACAGAGGGAAAGTGGCTGTGACCTTGATTTTGTACTTCTAAGCCTCCGGAACTGTGGGACAATAAGTTTCTGTGTTTTAAGCCACCTGGTTTCTGGTACTTTGTTATAGCAGCCCTAGGAAACTAACACCAACATTTCGATTTCAAAGTGTTCACACGTCTTCTTCTTCTTCTTCTTCTCCAGATATTATCAGCCAAGCTAGAACACAAGGCAGCCCACCAACCCAGCACAGATTTGAACAGGCAGCTGAGGAGAGAGCCTGGGATGCCAGCTCTGAAGTGTTCACCGCTAGAAGTGTTCCCTTGTCAAAGAAAGAAGCCATCCCTTGTCAGTAGATGGTCAGGAGTTCAAGACCAGCCTGGGCAACATGGTGAAACCCCGTCTTTACAAAAAAATACAAACATTAGCCAGGCGTGGTGGCCTGTGCCTGTGGTCCCAGCTGCTTGGGAGGCTGAGGTGGGAGGATCACTTGAGCCTGGGAGGTCGAGGCTGCAGTGCCACAGTGCACTTCTACCATCACTTGTCACGGCTCATTGAACCCATGTGACCCTGATCCAAGCCAGGCAACCACAGTCTCTGTCCCAGAAACTTGGTGTGAAGTCAGAGACAGAGTCAGTTGGTGCCAGTATAAGGACTGGAAGGTTATGAAGGCTGGGACATGAGACCTTTGGGGTCAGCCATGAGGGTGCCAGCTGGAAATCAGTGACCGAGGGCAAGGGAAGGAACCCGATCAACAGAAGGGCAGAGGCAGGGCATACACAGTCCCTGATGGAAGGATAGACAGAGAGAGCAGCCACCTGGGAAACCCTGCTTACGCTGATGCCCATCCTGCCTCCTACAACTGAATTCCATGAAATGCTGTCATGGTTATTCTAAGTCCCCCTTGACTTCAGCAGCTTTAGTGGGCTTCTGGGCCTTGCAGCCAAACCAGCTGCCAGGCATCCAGCCCAAAGTAGGTCCTCAAAGTATCCTGCCCATCTGCCTTTTAGGGCTGGGATTCCTTACTTTTGCCCAGGAAAGGCATCTTGGGGTGACATCTGGGAAGCAAGGATCACTCAGAAAAGAGGGAAGGAGCTGGGGCTGGGATTCCAACAATTTCACTGTGGCAGCATGTATGGTCCAGCCCTATGGCGCCTTGTTGGTTTTCTCTTCATGTGCGGAGACGAGAGATTGTAGAAAAATAAGACACAAGACTAAGAGAGAGTATGACAGACAGCTGGGCCCAGGGGGCCACTACCACCAATGTGCAGAGTCCGGTAGTGGCCCCGTATGTCTGGATGCACTGCTATTTATTGTATACAAGGCAAGGGGGCAGGATAAGGAGAGTGAGTCATGTCAAGTGATTGATAAGGTCAAGCAAGTCACGTGTCCACCGGACAGGGGGCCCCTTCCCTTTGTGGTAGCTGAAGCAGAGGGAGGACATCATGCATCAGCCTTTTTTCTATGTGCTTATCAGAGATCAAAGACTTTAATACTTTCACTATTTCTGCTACTGCTATCTTCTAAGGACTTAAGAGGGGAACCAGGTATATAGGCAGAACATGAAAGTGAACGAGTGTGACCACCGAAGCACAGCACCACAGGGAGACGTTTAAGCCTCCGGATGTCTGTGGGTAGACTGGCTGATGTCCAACCTCCCACAAGAGGCTGGTGGAGCAGGTGTTCTCTAACTCTTCCAAGGAAAGGGAAACCCCCTTTCATGGTCCGCTAAGTAACAGGTGCCTTCCCAGGAACACAAGCCCACAAGCGGCCTTTATCCGGGCGTGACAGAGGGCTCACGCTCTTTTTTTTTTTTTTTTTTTTTTGAGACGAAGTCACTCTGTCGTCCAGGCTGGAGTGCAGTGGTGCGATCTCGGCTCACTGCAAGCTCTGCCTCCCGGGTTCATGCCATTCTCCTGCCTCAGCCTCTCGAGTAGCTGGGACTACAGGCGCCCGCCACCATACCCAGCTAATTTTTTGTATTTTTAGTAGAGATGGGGTTTCCCCGTGTTAGCCAGGATGGTCTCGATCTCCTAACCTCGTGATCCGCCTGCCTTGGCCTCCCAAAGTGCTGGGATTACAGGCGTGAGCCACCATGTCCGGCCTGACAGAGGGCTCACACTCTTATCTTCTGGTCACTTCTCACAATGTTCCTTCAGCTCCTGACTGTACTGGCTGGTTATTCCTCGGTTATAATAGTAAAGCACAGATTAATACTAAAACTAATGATTGATAATATCCATATATAATCATCTCTATATCCTATTTCTAGTATAACTTTTCTTATTCTATTTTCTTTATTATACTGGAACAGTTTGTGCCTTCAGTCTCTTGCTTCGGCACCTGGGTGGCTTTCCGCCCACAGCAGCAAGAGTCATTGTTAGTAATAAGTCTTAATACTGTACCATAAGGTTGCAACTTGTTTATTTTTTTGAGACAGAGTCTCACTCTGTCTCCCAGGCTGGAGTGCGGTGGTGCAATCTTGGCTCGCTGCAGCCTCAACCTCCCAGGCTCAAGCGATCCTCCCACCTCAGCCTCCCAAGTAGCTTGGGACCACAGGCACGAGCCACAACACTCAGCTAATTTTTGTACTTTTTGTAGAGACAGGGTTTCACTATGTAGCCTAGGCTGATCTCAAACTCCTGAGCTCAACTGATCCATTTGCCTTGGCCTCCCAAAGTGCTGGGATTACAGGTGTGAGCCACCGCACCTGGCTACATCTCATTTATTGAGTACTCGTTTATATCCTCTAGTGAACACCTAATATACATATCTTAATCCTCACAACAGCCTAGGAAGGAGGCTACTAATTGTGTCAATTTTATTTGCTGAGTCTTTAAAAAGGTTGAGTTGATTATCACAGCTGGTAGAGGGCTAGGATTTAAACTCAATCTGTCTGCATTTTCTGCTTTGCCACACTGCACTCCTGCCATAATTAGGATCCATCTTCCTAGGGTTGATTCCTCCAGCTGCTGTGGCCTAAAAAATGTGAGTTAATTGGTTACAGAGTAGGGATACCATGTTTGTACTCTAATTTTTTCAAGAGCTGAGTGGTCTCAAAGTGGTCTGAGGACAGCCACCAGTAGCACTTTCTGTTGCCCTCTGTTGTTCCAAGTTCATCTCCCTAACTAGACAGCATGCTCTTTGATGGAGGGCCTCTGCTATCTTGACTTTTTTTTTTTTTAGACTGAGTCTCACTCTGTTGCCAGGCTGGAGTGCAGTGACGCGATCTTGGCTCACTGCAACCTCTGCCTCCTGGGTTCAAGCGATTCTCCTGCCTCAGCCTCCCAAGTAGCTGGGACTACAGGTGCGTGCCACGACACCCAGCTAATTTTTGTATTTTTAGTAGAGACGGGGTTTCACCATGTTGGCCAGGATGGTCTCGATCTCTTGACCTCGTGATCCACCCACCTCGGCCTCCCAAAATGCTGGGATTATAGGAGTGAGCCACCGTGCCCGGCCGATTTTTTTTACTTTATCCTGAAAACCATGTGTAACGGCCTCTGGTTGCTATTGTTTTAGTGCTGACCAGCCCCTTTCCATCCCATTTCCTTCTGGAAACAGGCTGCCCTTGGTCCTTCAGCCATAGCCCTCCAGCCTGGGCAATCAGACTACCCAATAATGAGATGGTGCCAGACTGAGCAGGACCAGTCAGAATTCTTCTCTGGAGTTGATAGAAGGCTCTGGGGAAAATTCCACCAAGGCTGTAAGCTAGGAGCATGTGAATTCAGGGATGTCAGGGGGCAAGTTTCCCCCACCTGGAGTCAGACTGTTTACAGAGGAGGCCAAGCAGAGCCAAACAAAAACAAGACAGACTTGAAGAGAGCACGAGAGAGCAAGAGCAAGAGAGGAGAGAGAGACAGTGCGAGAAGAGAGGAGAGAGAATCAAGTATTAGTTCCAGTTCCTAAGGTCTGTTCAATTCTGCGAACAATCCAGGCATCCTTCTGGACTCTCTCAGAGTCCATTTACTTTCTGTTACGCACTTGGTCCCGTAATATGTCACCATGACAAGCACAGTATGATTCGACTGCTGGGGTTCAAGGGGTGGAGGACGAGCTGATCAGAAAGTTTCTGTCATGGTGACAGCAGCCCAATTTCATGCTGGAAATGAAGGCAGCTCCTGCTGCTCCATCCAGCATTTGAGGGGCCCCTCTCTCTGCCCTTTGGATGTAGATAGCCCATTCTACGCAGCCAGACCTTTGCATATGGCCTTCAGCTATACAGAAATCCAGATGGCAGTTCTTGGGACCCTTTTCCTCTCATCAATCCCACCTCAAGCATCTTCCGCCTCGCAGCTCTTAACCCTCCCTATCTATTCCAAGCTCTGCCAAGCCCCATTTTATCAGCCAGACAGGATTCTGTGTTCCGCCTGACACATCTCCTGACCCTAACCCATGCCACTGCCCTCCCTCTCCTCCTCCAACTGGGCCTTCCTCCCACCTAGGCCATCAGCACGTTTCTGGACGTTCTCACTTCGAAATTGCTCCTTTATTGGCTTCTTTCCCAGGCTTGTCCACAGGCCTAGAGCGTCCTCTGCCTAGGATCCCCAGGGCCTGAGAGGCCCTTCCAGAGGGGCTGACTAGAGAGGCGTGGCTAAGTCCAGGGGGTGCTGCTTTTGTGGGGCAGGCTGCCTCCCCACCCCGAGTGACTCCAGTTCAAGAAGCACCGTGGCATGGCTCGGGGTCCAGCGGGCCCAGCCCAGCTCCATAGTGAGGAGTGCATAAGGCCTTCTGAAGGTGGAGATGCCAGCCAGCCACATCTACAGAAGCCCCAGCTCACAAAGAATGGCACATCTTGATCCATTTTTATTTACAAAACAAACTCTAAATGTGTTTGTGTGTGTATGCATATGTGTATATATACACACAGACTTACATATGTATGTTTATATACATCTACATGTATATATACATCTACATTGTATATACATTTACCTTCTATATAAATGTTACATTTATAGACATATACATTTATATGTATATACACATATATATTTACCCATGTATCTATAATATAATGTATGCTATATATAAGAAATCAAGAAGTAGGCCGGGCGCGGTGGCTCACGCCTGTAATCCCAGCACTTTGGGAGGCGAAGGCAGGCAGATCACCTCAGGTCAGGAGTTTGAGACCAGCCTGACCAACATGGTGAAACTCCCATCTCTACTAAAAATACAAAAAGTTAGCCGGGTGTGGTAGCGTGCGCCTGTAATCCCAGCTACTCGGGAGGCTGAGGCAGGAGAATTGCTTGAACCTGGGAGGTGGAGGTTGCAGTGAGCCAAGATCGTGCCACTACATTCCAGCCTGGGCGACAGAGGGAGACTCCAAACCCCCAAAAAAAACAAAATTGAGAAGTAAATATTCTAAAATGTCAGTAGTGGTGGGATTTTTAAAATAAACTTTTAAAATAAAAATTTTATTGACCTATACTTTGCATACAATAATCTGTACCTATATTAGTTGAGTTTCGATAACATACTCATGTAGCCACCAGGTGGTTCAGTATTTTATTTTCTTCTTTATGCCTTTCTTTAATTTCTAATTTTTTAAATTCAGTGGACAAGTGTGATGAGTAATTAGGTAAGAACATGTACAGAGGGAGACAAAGAGAAATAATTTCTAAGTCTCTGGCCTCGCATTCATAATCTAGGGGAGGCCAGTCCCTGAGAGAGGACAGATTGGCCACTGGAGTAGGCTCTCAGCTACCAGCGGCTTCTTCTTCTTTTTTTTTAGACAGAGCCTCACTCTGTTGCCCAGGCTGGAGTGCAGTGGTGCGATCTCGGCTCACTGCAACCTCTGCCTCCCAGGTTCAAGCGATTCTGCTGTCTCAGCCTCCTGAGTAAATCGGATTACAGTTGTGCGCCACCATGCTCTACTAATTTTTTGTATTTTTAGCAGAGACGGGGTTTCACCATGTTGGCCAGGCTGGTCTCGAACTCCTGACCTCAAGTGACCCACGTGCCTCAGCCTCCAAGTGTTTGGATTACACTGCGCCCGGCCGCACCAGGGCCTTCTATAAGCACTGCCTTATGTGCCTTCCCACAGCCACTCTTTGAGAAGTTGGTTAAGGCAGAATGTTCACCCACTGCAGGTGAATACACCACAACTCAGAGAGGTCAAGTGACTGGCCCATTAAGGGGGAATCACAGAGCCAGTTAAGTGCAGGTGAGCCCAGGGCTCTCTTCATTAGCCATCCTTAATGGGTTCAAGGAGCCCAGATGGACTTCATCCAGGTCCGCAGGTGTCACTAGCTCCTCAGAACTGCAGGAAATGAGGCCAACCCCCTGTCTGGACACAGCAGCCTCACAGCCTGGTCCGCAAGGACAGCAGCCCACCCTGCTTCCCACCCAGGCTGGCCACGGATTTGATTCAGGAGGGGAACGGTGGAATCTGGCTCAGAGCAGGAGGCCTGCTTCTTCTGGAGACCTATTAACGCCTTGAGCACTCAAAAAGGGTGACCCACCGCCTGCCCTCCTCCCCAGCACAGCCAAAAATGACCTTGATCTTTGCCAAGCCTACCCAAGAAGAGAAGGAAACGCCCCTCCTCGGCAGCAAGGCAGGGTGTACAATCCCTCCTATTCTCATATCCGCTTCTCCACCTCCAGCGAGGGATCCTACCAGAGCCCCTTGAGGCTGCAAACCCAGGGGAGGCTCCTCCAGGCCCCTCTAACTCAGTGAAGCTAGAGATGCAGTGCTGAGGACTTACATGGAGAAAAATGCACAAATAATAGGCCCTTGCAGCTTCAGTCTGCCCTGGGAGGAGGCTGTGGGCCAGGATGACCCTGTATACATCCCAACCCAGCACCACCACCAACACCAGCATATACAGCATTGATTATGCTCCTACTACTTATTGATTACGCTCCTACTACAGTAGTTCAACAACAACAAAAACTTCCTAGCGCCAAAGGTTACCGGAGGTTGCCACCCAAACCCTCTGGGACCCCTCATCACTAGACTCCTGCTCCTGGCGACCACCCGAGTCCCATCCCCACCAACACACGCGACTTCATCCAAAAGTTCTTCCTCTGAGAACGCCAAGAGACACCCAAGGGACTCCAGGTAAAGGTGAGCCCTTCCAGCAGTCGCCCTCTGGCTCGGCACGGAGGGGGGCGCTCAGCCTTTCTGGGGCAAATTTAGTAATATGGGACCCGAGCCCTCGACCCGAAATACGCCCGAGGCATTTATCCTAAAAAACGACAAGGTCCGGGCGCCCAGCAGAACGGCCCGGCTCGACCGCGCGCAGCTTGCAGGCAGGGGGGTGTGCAGGTCACCGCGCCACCCCGGCGAGCAGAGCCGCGGAGGGCGCCACGTCGGTGCGCTGGCCCCGCCCGAGCGGGGCGGGACCTTCCTGTACCCCCGGAAGCCCCCGCGGGCAGCTGGGGAGGAAACCGCGGCCACGCGCTCGGGGGGCCCGGCTCGGGAAGGGCAGTGCGCGCGCATGCGTTGGGGCGGGGCGCCTGGGACCTGCGGGCCCCAGGCCCAGCGCGCCGCCAGCCGGAGTGCCCGGCGCCCGTCGAAAGGCCCCTGCGCCGGTTCAGGACCCGCACCCAGCTACGCTGCGGAGCCCCAGCTCGCAGCACCCTCCCACCCACCGCTCCTGGCTGCTTTTCTCCTGAGTCTGCGGGGCGGGGTCGTTTTTGTTTTTTACAAAAATGTATGTAAAGGTATTTCGATGAGTGAAGGAACACGCTATAATGCTCACTCAATGCAGCATCGGTGATAATTGCGCCGGCGGGCGCGGTGGCTCGCGCCTGTAATCCCAGCACTTTTGGAGGACGAGGAGGGAGGATGGCTTGAGCCTGGGAGTTCGAGACCAGCCTGACCAACATGGAGACCTCCATCTCTTAAAATAAATTTTTATCTTTATTTATTTTTATTTTGTATTTTTTTTGAGACGGAGTTTCAATCTTGTTGCCCAGGCTGCGGTGCAATGGCGCGATCTCGGCTCACCGCAACCTCCGCCTCCCAGATTCAAGCGATTCTCCTGCCTCAGCCTCCTGAGTAGCTGGGATTACAGGCATGCGCCACAATGCCCAACTAATTTTGTATTTTTAGTAGAGACGGGGTTTCTCCATGTTGGTCAGGCTCATCTCGAACTCCCGACCTCAGGTCATCCGCCCGCCTCGGCCTCCCAAAGTGATGGGATTACAGGCATGAGCCACCGCGCCCGGCCTATTTTTTAAAAAATTTTTTAATTACCCGGGCGTGGTGACGCGCATCTGTGGTCCCAGCTACTAAGGAGGCTTAGGCGGGAGGATCGCCTGAGCCTGGGAGGTGGAGACTGCAATGAGCCGAGATCGCGCCACTGCACTCCAGCCTGGGCGACAGAGAAAGACCGTTTCTAAATAAGTAAATAAATAATAAATAGAAAAAAAAAAGATAATTGCACCTTCCAAGGAAAAGGTAATACTGGAACTGTCCAGGATAAGGAAATGGATTAAATAAATCATGGAATATTTCTGGGTGAAGTAGTATGCAGTCATTAAAAAATGGTGTTTTCGGCCGGGCATGGTGGCTCACGCCTGTAATCCTAGCACTTTGGGAGGCCAAGGCGAGTGGATCACTTGAGGTCAGGAGTTCGAGACCAGCCTGGCTAACATGGTGAAACTCCGTCTCAACTAAAAATACAAAAATTAGTTGGGCATGGTGGCCGACGGCTGTAATCCCAGCTACTCAGGAGGCTGAAGTAGGAGAATCGCTTGAACCCGGCAGGCGGAGGTTGCAGCGAGCCGAGATCGAGCCATTGCACTCCAGCCTGGGCGACAAGAGTGAGATTCTGACTCAAAAAAAAAAAAAAAAAAAAAAGGTGTTTTCTGGGAACAGCCTAGGTAACACAGTGAAACACCATCGCTACAAAAAAAAAAAAAAAAAAAAAAAAAAAAAATTAACTAGGCGTATGGCATCCCTGTAGTCCCAGCTACTTGGGAGGCAGATGTGGGAGGATCACTTGAGCCTAGGAGTTCCAGGCTTTAGTGAGCTGTGATCATGTTGCTGCAGTCCTGTCTGGGTGACAGAGTAAGACCCCATCTCTAAATAATAAATAAATACATACATAAGTGATATTTTCCAAGAATATTTAGTGATGTGGGAAAATGTTCACAATAAAATGTTCACAGAAAAATATCTGGCACAAAGTGGCAGTAAATGCTAGTAATTATTAAAAAACAGGGTATTAGTGAACAATGTGGTTTTAAGTTAGTAAAGTATATGTATCTAATACAAAAGAAAAAAGAAACATTCCAAAGGTGATTATCTCAGGAAGGTGGGATTATGAATAATTTTTACTTTTTCCTTTTTTTGGTTATTTTAAAATTTGGTGCAGTTAATATAATTTTAGGCCTAGGAGAAAAAGGTCCTGTTATATCAGTTTGTTTTTTTTTTTTAAGCCCTTGATTCATTCTTTTCAATGTAGAGGTTGCTCTGAGAGCCCAGGCGACCCTCCCCTTGGGCAGATGCTTGCTTTGAGGAAGTGTGGAGAGTGGAAACAGCCTGGTGGGCTGGGATGTTGGAACAGCACCTCAGCCCTTCTCCCTGGCAAGTTGTGTAATCTTAATGAACCTCAATTTTCCCATCTGTAAAATAGGCGTAATTACCTGAGGCCTTTGCATGAGAATTATATGAAGTAATTCATGTAAAGGACTCAAGCCGGGGCTCACAGGAAGTTCAGTCATGTTTGCAGCTGCAGGAGCAAATTCCTCAGACATAGTGGACACTCAGTAACAAAGATGGCTGGGCGCAGTGGCTCACGCCTGGAATCTCAGCACTTTGGGAGACCAAGGCAGGCAGATTACTTGAGCCCAGGAGTCAGAGACCAGCCTGTGCAACATAGTGGGACCCTGTCTCTACAAAAAATACAAAAATCAGCTGGGTGGGCTCTCATGTACCTGTAGTCCCAGCTACTTAGGAAGCTGAAGTGGGAGGATCACCTGAGCCCGGGAGGTCGAGGCTGTGGTAAGCCCTGATCGTACCACTGCACTCCAGCCTGGGTGACAGAGAGAGACCCTGTCTCAAAAAAAAAAACAAAAAAAAAAAAACAAGAACAACAACAACAAAACCAAACAAAAAACAAATGCTGCTTCCCTTCTCCTTGCCCTTGGACACTGTGGACGTAACCTAGGTGTTTCGGCAGCTGAGTTGGGACTAACTTAAGAGGTCCCAGACATTGTCAAAAACTCCCTAAACCATGGTCTGCCCAGTAAAAGAGGCTTCTAAGACAGTGAGAGCCCCTGTTCTGGAGATCTCTGCAGGTGCGATTACCGATTCACTCAACAAACAGATAGTGAGCTTCCAGCGGTACAATGGAGGACAACATAGTCAGTTTCTGCCCTCTTGGATTTCCGTTCTAGTGAGGGAGACACAATAAATAAGTAAACAAAATGATTAGCAATTGTGATAAGAGCCACAAAAGACACAAAGAGCTGCAACAGAAAACTGAAGTGAAGGGGTTCAAATGTGAGGCAGGGATGGGCCTCTCTTGGGAACTTGGACCAGCACAAGGGTCTGGGACACCATAGCTGAGGTTACCCCAAGCCCAACCTTCCTGTGCCACTGCCTGGTTCTCCTGGAAGCCCCTAGACCGGGCACCAGAGCAATGCAGTGGACCCACTGGGCCAAGCCCCTGGGTGGTCAGAGCCTCCAGAGAAAACAGGTGGCCCTTCGCTCCTTTACTCTGTCCCAAGCCCTTCCCCATTCTCTACTTCATCGAATCCTCAGCACAACCTGTGAGGCAGACAGGGCCCAATTCTTTCTCTCCCGTCTAAGCAGAGCGTAGGACTGGTGAAGAGAGTCACTCGAGGTCACACAGCCAGTGGGGAAACTGACTTGGCCCTGGCCTCCAGCTCCTGCCTGTGCTTCCCCTCCCCTCTGCAGAGCCAGCCCCCTGGGGTGGTGGGTGGAGAAGGACCCAGGGCTAAGGCAGGGGAAGGCTGAGGGGCCGCATATCCAAACCCTCAAAGAGAGAGTGAGGAGCTACCACTCCCCGGGGGACCAGCCCGAGGCCTGTGAGAGGTGGACTGGGAGCAGGTAACCTGCAGTGGACAGACAGGTTTTGAAATGTGGGTGTTGCCACTGTGCACCTGTGACCATGAGTAGAGTATGTGTCCCATCTGTAAAATGAGACAATATTACCAGGCACAAGGGTTGTGAAGTTAATACAGAACCATTTCTGGTACATGCTGAGCACTCAGTGCACAGTAGTTGTAACAATGATTATAACTACCACATACAATTATGTATGAGACCTGGTCTGGGCCCTGGGGATGCTGGAGAAACAAAGAAGAGTCTGCCCTTGCAGAACTTTTATCTTAGTGCAGAAGACAGACAACAAATAGTAAGCAAAATCATAAGTAAGGATGTCAGAGGCTGACAGTTCTGAAGATAGTACATAAAATAAAAAGGAGTGGGTATAAGGCTACTTGAGGGCTGGGCACGGTGGCTCAGGCCTGTAATGCTAGCACTCTGGGAGGCCAAGGCGGGAGGATTGCTTGAGCCCAAGAGTTCAAGACCAGCCTGGGCAACACAGGAAGACCTCTACCCCTGTCTCTACAAAAAAAAATTTTTAATTAGCCAGGAGGTCAAGGCTGCAGTGAGCTCTGATTACACCACTGCAATCCATCCTGAGTGACAGAGCAAGACTGTCTCAGGAAAAAAAAAAAAAAAAAAAAGACTACTTGAGCTAGAGCAGTCAAGGAGGATTTCTCTGAGCTGAGACCTGAATGATGGGAAGCAGGCAGAGGAGGGAGATGAGAGCTTTCCAGGCAGAGCCTGGAGCACGTGCAAAGGACCTGTGATGGTGGAGAGCTTGACGTGGTCATGAGGAAGAAGGCCAGGCTGCTGAAGTGTTGCTTGAGGAAGGTGGGGCTTTGCAGGCCAGGGTAGGAGAGTTTATTCTCACTGCCATAGCAACAAGATGGTTTTTTTTTTAAAAAAAAGCGTTTTATGTTTTGTTTTGTTTTGCGACAGGGTTTTGCTTTGTAGCCCAGGCTGGAGTGCATCGGCACAATTTTGGCTCACTGCAGGCTTGACTTCCTAGGCTCAGATGATTCTCCCACCTCAGCCTCCCAAGTAGCTGTGATTACAGGCATGTGCCACCATGCCCGGCTAATTTTTGTATTTTTTGTAGAGACGAGGTTTCGACATGTTGCCCAGGCTGGTCTCGAACTCCTGACCTCAAGAAATTCACCTGCCTTGGCCCCCCAAAGTGCTGGGATTACAGGCGTGAGCCACCTTGTCCAGACTAAAAAAGGGTTTGATTTTATCCATTTATGCCTAGCATTCCATTATTGGAAAGCTAGGCATGTGGGAGTTATTTATATCCTACTGCTCAAGATCATCACCAAGGTCTGATTGCAAAAATTCAAAAAATTGCAACCTCAGGCATGAATGGGTTAATGAGATTATTCTGTGTGTCGAAAGGGCTGGAAGGGACAGGAACAGAAGCAGAGAGACCTGTTGTGGTATGAAGGGGACAGAGATCAGCTAGAGGACAGATGATGGGGACTTGGACTACAGCTGCAGCAGGGACAAGGTGAAAATGGCCGAGTTGGGGATACATTGAAAGGTGAGTGCTGTCAGAATAAGCTGGTGGTGGCCGGGTGTGGTGGCTAATGCCTGTAATCCCAGCATTTTGGGAGGCTGAGGCGGGCGGACTACTTGAGGTCAGGAGTTCAAGACCAGCCTGGCAAACATGGAGAAATCCCCGTCTCTACTAAAAATACAAATATTAGCCAGGTACGGTGGTGCACTCTTGTAATCCCAGCTACTTGGGAGGCTGAGGCACGAGAATCGCTTGAACCCGGGAGGTGGAGGTTGCAGTGAGCTGAGATCGCGCCACTGCACTCTAGTCTGGGTGACAGAGCAAGACTCAGTCTCAAAAGAGAAAAAAAAAAAAGAACAAGCTGGTGGACTGGCTGTGGTATGGGACAGAAAGAGGATCAAGGCAGAGTTCAGCACCAGCTAAGCACCAGTTACTTTAAGATCAGAAGATTGGGAGCAGGTTGGGAGGAGACCAAAGATTCTGTTTTTGACAGGTCACATCTGAGATGCCTGTTGAACACCCAGGCGGAGAGGCCCAGCTGAAATTTGGTTATAGGAACCTGGGCCTCCAGAAGTCAGGGAGTGGAAACAGATCCCGGAGCCCTGGGCCCTCCACTGTCTAGAGAAGAGGAAAGGGAAAGGTAGGAAGCCTAGGGAAAAAGGGGTTTCAGGGAGGCGGGAAGTCTCCTGGGTTGTAGTTGCTGAGGGCTCATGTAAGAGTGGAGGGTCCCAGGCCCCTGGAATGGATGGAGGAGAGGCCGGAAGTGAAGACAGCACAGTCGTCAAATACAGAGGGGGCTTTCAATCTTTGCTGTCAAGTGGAGCAGAGAAATAGAGCGGGGCTGGCCGGGCGCGGTGGCTCACGCCTGTAATCCCAGCACTTTGGGAGACTGAGGCAGGCGGATCACAAGGTCAGGCGATTGAGACCATCCTGGCTAATGCAGTGAAACCCCGTCTCTACTAAAAAAATAGAAAAAATTAGCCGGGCGTGGTGGCGGGTGCCTGTAGTCCCAGCTACTCTGGAGGCTGAGGCAGGAGAATGGCGTGAACCCGGGAGGCGGAGCTTGCAGTGAGCCGAGATCGCGCCACTGCACTCCAGCCTGGGTGACGGAGTGAGACTTCGTCTCAAAAAAAAAAAAAAAAAGAGAAATAGAGCGGGGCTTCAGGGGGTGGTAAAGGGCAGTGTGTGTGTCTGTGTGTGTGTGTATGTGTGTATGTGCATAAAACAGATGGGTGCCATGAGGCGTGTTTGTGTGCTCTGGGAGAAACAGTGAAACTGATGATGCCAAACAGAGCCACGTCTGAGAAGCATGGTGGGATTCAGAGCTGCACGGGGAGGCTGCAGAGAGGCTAGAGAGACAGGAAGGGAGGGGTGGGTTATGGGGGGAAGGACAAGGGAGATAACAAAGTTCTCACACTGGGCCAAGCAGTGACCAATAAGGGTTGCCTATTGCTGTCACCTCAGCTGATGCAGGGCTGGGCAAGAGATGGCCATTCAGTGGGGTGTGGGGGGAATATTTTATCCACCTCTGTGTTTAGGTGTAGTGGGGCCTTGTGATTCCATCAGGACCAAAGCTTCCCTGGAGGCTCCAAATTCCTTTTCATGATCCAAGAAACACCCTGACTTTGGCTAACACCCTTGGTTCTGAGGGCAGGGCTCCTTGCAGTCTATCGCCTCCCAGCACATGGCAACTAACTCCCCACACCCACTGCTGGGGGTGGAGCCACCAGAGGCCACATGCAGGAAGAGAGAAGACAAAACCCAAGTTGCCAAGGAGAAGACCCAGGCCCAAGGTCACACAGGATGCAAATCGGGGGTTCCAAATACCATGGACTTTCTTTTTTTTTGAGATGGAGTCTCACTCTGTTGCCCAGGCTGGAGTACAGTGTCTCCATCTTGGCTCACTGCAACCTCCACCTCCCGGGTTCAAGCAATCCTCCCACCTCAGCCTCCCAAGTAGCTGGGTCTATAGGCATTTGCCACCATGCCTGGTTAATTTTTGTTGTTGTTGTTGTTGTTTTTTAAGATGGAGTCTCACTCTGTTGCCCAGGCTGGAGTGCAGTGGCACTATCTCTGCTCACTGCAACCTCCGCCTCCCAGGTTCAAGCAATTCTCCTGCCTCAGCCTCCCAGGTAGCTGGGATTACTGGCGCCTGCCACCACGCCTGGATAAGTTTTGTATTTTTAGTAGAGATGGGGCTTCACCGTGTTGGCCAGGCTGGTCTCGAACCCCTGACCTCAGGTGATCCACCCGCCTCGGCCTCCCAAACTACTGGGATCACAGGCGTGAGCCACCGTGCCCGGCCCTGATAGACTTTCTTCTAACCAGGACACGGTTCAGGGCATCGGGGCTTAGGGATGAAAAATTAGGCGCTGGCCGGGTTGATCCCTGAGGTTTGAATCTATCTCTGAACATTTCTGTGTCAGTTGTCCATCCCTTGGAGGCCTAGGCCTCCACCCATAGTCCCCAAAGCAACAGATACGTTACTCCTACAACTGCACCGCCTCATAGGGTCACAGGTGAAATGAGGAAACTGCTGCTGAGGGACTCAACCCTTTTAAAGTGTATTAGAGGCCGGGCGTGGTGGCTCACGCCTGTAATCCCAGCACTTTGGGAGGCTGAGGCCGGTGGATCACCTGAAGTCAGGAATTCGAGATCAGCATGACCAACATGAGAAACCCCATCTCTACTAAAAATACAAAATTAGCCGGGCGTGGTGGTGTACGCCTATAATCCCAGCTACTCGGGAGGCTGAGGCAGGAGAATCACTTCAACCTGGGAGGTGGAGGTTGTGGTGAGCTGAGATCGCACTGTTGCACTCCAGCTTGGACAACAAGAGCAAAACTCTGTCTCAAAAAAAAAAAAAATGTTTATTAGAGCCAAGGAGAAAGGGAGCTTTGGAAGTAACTCTAGAAGACAGTCCCAGGGGTCCCGTCCCCCTTGGATGTGACTTTGTGCCCCCACCTGCAACTAAACTTGTTGTTGGCCTCATAGCAGCCATGTGCCCACACCCACACCCCTCGGAATTACATCCACTCCCCATGCTGGCAGCTGACCCTACTATATGCACACTACTATATGCACACTTGGCCTCTTCACCAGCCAGCTCCCAGGCAGCCTCTTGTCTCCCTCTCTCCTCCATTCCACTCGAGACCCACTGTGCTGACCCGGCAAGCCTGGGCCCGGTGCGCAGCATCTCCACCACACCCAGGCAGACACAGGGCTGGAGCTGCCCACTGAGGCGGTCTCAGGGACTGCGGACCTGTCACTTCACAACTACCTTGACTCAGCCCAGCCCTGACCCTTCTCCTGTCTCTCCTTACCCCTCTGCCACCAAATGACGCCTTGCTTAAACTCAGGACTGTCACAGGATCATTATTATTATTATTATTATTATTATTATTATTATTATTATTATTATTTTTTTTTTTGAGACAGAGTTTTTCTCTGTGGTCCAGGCTGGAGTGCAGTGGCGCCATCTTGGTTCACTGCAAACTCCCCCTCCCAGGTTCAAGTGATTCTCTGCCTGAGCCTCCCAAATAGCTGGGATTACAGGCACACACCACCACGCCCAGCTAATTTTTTGTAATTTTAGTAGAGACGGGGTTTTGCCATGTTGCCCAGGCTGGTCTCAAACTCCTGAGCTCAGGCAATCTGCTTGCCTCGGCCTCCCAAAGTGCTGGCATTACAGGTGTGAGCCACTGCACTCGGCCTGTCACAGAATGGTATTTATTAACCAAATGGCTCCAGTAGCTCCCTCTGTCCCGTAAGTTCTTGCCAGACCTCCCACTCCCAGCTCTGATGACACTGGGACAATCAGGCATGGCTTCCAGAGCTAAAGGGCACCAATGCCCACCTCTCCCAGCCCTCCCATCTCTCTTTGGAGCTAAGTCTTGAAGATTCAGTCCGAGTTCCATCTCCTACCAGGATTCCTCCAGATAAGCTAATTTTCAAAATTCAGTGGCCAGATGAAATTGCTTATACCTCTTGCTTCTTGCTAATTTCTAGACTCTCAAAAAGAAAAAAAAATCTTGGGTCTTGACTTCCCCACTGAGATGAACACATTTCTGAATTGGTCCAACTAAGAACCAGGTTTGCTTCTTTCTGAACTGACAGCCTGAGAGCTGAAGAACCAGGCAAATGTGTGAGGAGCCAACCAAAATGTGCAGCTACTTTGCTCCAATAAGTTTTATTTCTGGGAATCCATTTTAAGGAAAAAATACAAAATATGGACAGAAAAAAGCCAAAACATAAAGATGTTTACAGAAGCTCTATTTGTAGCTAAAATAAAAAAATAGAAACAAATATCCAACAAGAAAGTGCCACGAAGCCATTTAAAAAAAAAATTCCAGCCAGGCACAGTGGCTCACGCCTGTAATCCTAGCACTTTGGGAGGCCGAGGCAGGTGGATCATGAGGTCAGGAGATCGAGACCATCCTGGCTAACACGGTGAAACCCCGTCTCTACTAAAAATACAAAAAAAAATTAGCCGGGCATGGTGGCGGGCGCCTGTAGTCCCAGCTACTCGGGAGGCTGAGGCAGAATGGCGTAAACCCAGGAGGTGGAGCTTGCAGTGAGCTGAGATTGTGCCACTGCACTCCAGCCTGGGCGACAGAGCGAGACTCTGTCTCACGGAAAAAAAAAAAAAAATTCCACTACTAAAGAACTCATCCATGTAACCAAACCACCTGTACCCCAAAAACTATTGAAATAAAAATAATTCTACATCAACACTGAAAAATACTAAGAAAAAGTACAAGTTAAATGTATAGTTACAACTTTGTGAAAAAAGAAAGACGTGCCCATGAGGAAAAAACCTGTTAGTTTAGTAGGGTTGTCCCCTTTTCCTCAAACGTTCCCCTTATAATTTCTTTCAATACTTCCAGTGAAGTGGTACAGTCCTAAACCTCCCTGAAACCTAATGTAAGAGAGAAACCTTGAGTAACCCTTCCTCTTTTTTTTATTTTTTATTTTGAGACAGAGTCTCACTCTGTCACCCAGGCTGCAGTGCAGTGGCACAATCTTAGCTCACTGCAATCTCCACCTCCCGGTTTCAAGCAATTCTCCTGCCTCAGCCTCCAGAGTAGCTGGGATTACAGGTGCCCACCACCATGCCTGGACAATTTTTGTATTTTTAGTAGAGAGAGGGTTTCACCATGTTGGCCAGGCTGGTCTCGAACTCCTGACCTCAAGTGATCCACCTCCCTCGGCCTCCCAGTGTGCTGGCATTACAGGCGTGAGCCACCATGCCCAGCCAAGTAACCCTTCTTTAAGAGAAGCAAGCACTGGCTAGACCTGCTAGGCACTTAGAAGATGAAACTGAAACACAGATGCTTGAGGTCTTAGAGTTGAGATGTGGTATGAATCATCCCAGTTCTTGCATTTATTCAGATGGTCACATTTATTTATTTATTTATTTGATACAGTCTCGCTCTGTATCCAGCCCACACTGGAGTGCAGTGGCGCAATGAGAGCTCGCTGCAACCTCCACCTCCCAGGTTCAAGCAATTCTCCTACCTCAACTTCCCAAGTAGCTGGGATTACAAGCGTGCACCACCACACCCGGCTAATCTTTGTATTTTTAGTAGAGATGCGGTTTCAGCATGTTGGCCAGGCTGATCTTGAACCCCCAACCTCAGGTGATCCATCCACCTCAGCCTCCCAAAGTGCTGGGAATACAGGCATGAGCCACTGCGCCCAGCCAGATGGTCACTTTAGATAGGTGGGGACAGAGAACTAGTGATTATTGAGTCATGCAGACAAAGGGAACACTGGGTGAAGGGCTCTGCAGACCATGAGGCACTGTCCACTTGCAAGACAGCTCTGGGGAGGGCCATACAGTGAGAGGAACTCAGACTTGGGGTCTGAAGGGAAAACTGGGGGTATCCCTGAGTGGCTGTCACTGCACTCAAGGTGGCCCTTGCATTGTTGGCTGGAGCAGGGAAAGGGACCTCCCTCCCCTTATGCTGAGCTGACACTGGCTTCCCCCACACCATTCCACCTGCCTGTGGAACACCTGGAAAGACCCCGGCCCTTTGGGCTCGCCCTGTCCGTGTTTACAAACATTGGCCTACCAATTCCTGCTTTTTCTAGGACAAATGCCCCGATTTGTTCTGGGGCCCCTTGACATTCCCGACCATCTACCACTCTGGATGCTCGCTTGTTGCCAAAACCCTGTTTAGAGTTTGAGTACCTAGGTTCAAAAATCCTCCTCGCGCCGTGTCTGACCAAGGCATTGGCATAAGGCGCGCTCTTCTCCCTGCTCTGGTATGAAAACTTCTGTTGCTCAGCCCAGAGCTGAATTTGCTTTCCCAGCAACCCTGTCTCACCATAACTTATTTTTCAGCTTCCAGTCAACCAAACTCTTTCCTGCACCCAGGGGACAGCTCCCATTTACTAATTTGATGCTCACACAGGTGACGTTTTTTAGGGAGGCCCTACATCATCTGGGCCCGACGCTAGCACCTCCCCGCTTAGGTACTTGAGCCCCCTGGAGGAGGCTGTGAACAGTCATGGCAGGGAAAGGAGACGCAAGACAAAACGACATTATTACGGTGCTTTTCCATTTTTCTTTTTGCACAAAAACAGTCCATTTATTCAAGTGTTCTCCAGCACAAGTACATTAGAAAGGAGCTTTATTATATTCTTCTGGGCACAAAAAAAAATGTGATGAAGGCGGAACTGACAGACTTTCTACATCTGTTGTACGCATTGACCTCTTTAATTATTTCATAAACAGCTATGTCACGAGCATCACTTACACAGAGATACAACAGGACACCAGGCGGGTGGGGCAGGGACCCCTCGGGCCCCCACTCGCCCTTCCCTGAATGTCCTAGAACCAGACTGTGAAATGTACATTATTATTGTCAATAAATAGAGAAGCAACCCTAAAAAAAAAAAAAAAAAAAAAAAAAAAAAAAAAAAAAAAAAAAAAAAAAAAATACAGTGGTGAAAGGATGCTGGAACCAGGAAAAAAAAATAATAATAATAAAGGAGAAAAGAGGAACTTAAGAGAAAGGAAAGAGGGCTGGGGAGGGAAGAGTCTGGGAAGTCCTGCATTTAGCTGCGTGGAATGTGGAGTAAAAGTGCTCTGCCACCGGGGTCAAAGCGAAATCGTCTGTAACAGTAAAAGTTATTACCAAATCAGCTACGGAGTTTATTCTTCAGTATGAATACATGATTTCCCACAAATAAGTAAGCACCCGCTACTTCAATGCCTCAGCTAAAACACATGAAATCGCTCATTTAGTTTTCAAGTACAAAGTTAAAATGCCTTTTTAATAATAATATATCAGAGTAAAATAATAGTCTCTTTTAAACTCCACTACAAGAAAACAAAACAAACAGTCATTGTCCAGACAGCAGACTTAATTTAACAATATATATTTTTAATAAAATGTTTTAGCACCTTGGTGAGTCACCTCCTCCCTCTGCGTATTCTAAGGAATTTCAGCATTTTTGTTGTCTGTTGAATTCTAGGGCTGTGCAACCAAATCGGTCTGTGAAGTGAAATGGGACTAGGGGATGCTTTAGACCGCTGCTCATGTTCTCAGGCACAGGGTTGGAGGCCGCTAGGCTGGGGCTGAGGGAGCCGCCCTCCTCACCCCCCAGTGGAGCTGAGCCAGGGAGCTTTCCAGTTACGGGAGTTTCGGGAGTCCCAGGCCCTCTGGTGGGGGAAGTGAGTAAGTCACCACCAGCAAAGGGATCTTGTGTCCTTGTCCTCCCTGCTCCTTGCTTGTTTCTCCCTCCCCCAAAACTCTGCTGCCTCGGGTCAGAGACAGGTCACCCACCAAAGGCCCACCTTAGCTGGGTCTCGGAAACACAGAGGCAAGGTTCCCCAACTCGATCCTCAAAGACCCTGGCCTGCCTTTACCAAAACGTAAAGATTCCAGAGCTCACACTACAACAGCAGAGTCCATCCTCTCACCCCTTCCCTCTCCTCCCGGTCCTCCTGACCCCAGCACAGGGCCTGGTAAGGAGGCGGCTGACACTTTCCTTAATCCTGGCTCAGCAGGGCATGGCCAGAAGGGCCATCCCAGCTCCAGACCATTCCTCCACTACACCTTTTCCACCCCCGGGATTGGGAGCGGGGAGGTTTCAGCTGCTCCCTGGCAAACAGGCAGGACTCCCAGAGGACAACTCCAGGGTCGCTCTCTAGTCTCCAGCACTGAGAGCAGGCAGCGTGGAGAATACGCAATGACAAACTCAGATTACTCACCTCCCGGGACCAAAACAGGGGCCTGGCTAGAAACTCGGTTCCCACCAGAATGTTGGCTCTGCCGTGCTCCCGACCAAAGGAAGCAAGCAGCCCTCTTCAGGGCACAGTGCCAGGCAGCACCCCCTCCCTGCCCTGGCCCTAACCCACAGCTTGAGGGGGATCCTAAAAGCAACAGCTCTGAAAGACACTTGGGGCCACTGCAACTCCGCACCAAGCAGAGTAGCAACAGGAATTCAAAACTGCCTCCCAAATGTACTCTATTTATATAAGCAAAACTATGAAATGAATGACTGCAGTTTTCCTATAAGAACATCTCCCAGATGGCTCTGCTGAAATATTCCTTCTACTGCTGGAGAAGGTGGGTGTTCCCATCTAGGCTTCCCCAGAGTCGCCATGGCCTGGTGGCCAATTATCGGGAAGCAAGGGGAGCTGGGCCCTGTGAGACCCCTTTGGTGTCAGCCTTCCTTCCTGCTGGGGTGCCTGTCCCAATCCACACTCCTGCAATGCGCCAAAAATCACACAGGCATCTCTACCAGTCAATCACACCCAGGCCTGTTTCAAAAGCTAACAGGTCCCGGGTGCTCTCTTGGAAAGTTTGCTTTCCAATAGGATGTTCAATAGCAAGAAGTCTCTGGGGCCTAGAGACAAAAGGACAGCAACAGATTCATGTCATCATCTATGGACTGCAGACCCCTGCTAGTGCCCGCCTGCGGCCCCCCAGTCTGCCGGTGCACCAGCCTGTCGCTCCCGTGGGGCGGGGGGTTAGTACCAGCCGCCTGCTGGAAACTAGCTTCCTGCTTAGGCAGGAGGCCAAGGACTGTGTCCCCAGCACGAGCACCTGGCTACCTCCCCCAGGCAAGAGCCACGGATCTCTTTGGCATCATGCGCCACCTGGCACCTGCAGGGGAAGCTGTCATCAGCCCCCAGAACCCTTGTTTCTAAGGGGGAAATGGGCCTACTCTTCGGAAAGAAAATTCCACAGGGAATATGCCTGGCAATTTTCCCTAGGCCTTCTTGGTTCCCCCACTCCACTGCCTCTAACCTCTGCCTTATCTACAGCCTGCTGAAGTTCAGCACCCCTTGGAAGGTGACCCAATACCTGTCCCCAGAGGCCCCAGCGTTGAGGTGGATTAAGCATATCTCAGCTTGGCCAAGTTGGCACAATCCCAAAGCCCCACACTCTCCTAAATTCTACTGTGAGACCAAGCACACAGGCTGGGCCGGAAGAAAAGCTGGTGATTGTTAACTCTCGTCCCTGCAAGGGGGGGGGGGGGGGGGCCATGACCCCTGGGGCATCTGGTCCATTCTAGGGCCTGGTCAAGTGGCTAGATCTGGAGGAACAAGTGCTCTCAAGCTGTCAGCCATAAGGGCTCCTCTGTGCCCAGCACTCCCTCCTCGAGCAAGCCGGCCCACAGGAATCCCCCAGGCTTGCCATGCCCTTGGCTACCAAGTCTCTTCCCAAGTCCCAACACCAACCCTTTGGTTGGAGCACCAGGCCCAGTTCCGGTGGAGCTTGGGCCGCTGGGAAAGGCTAACTGTCACTAAGCAGTGGCTTGGGAGAGCCTGAGCCTTAGAAGACTCTGTCCTGACCCTGGGAGCCGGGAAGACCTTAGCATTGGCCAGCGGGGGAGGGAGCACCTTGGACTGCCTGAGGCAGCCCCTCCTCCCCCAGCCCTCCTGGAGTGGCGCTGGTGGACTCCAGGCCCGAAGGACAGAGCCCCGCGGGAGCAAGGAGGAGCTGGGTGAGCACCACAGTTAGCACAGGGACTCCACTGAGGGGGCAGAGGCTCCCTTCCTCGCTGCTCCAGCCCCACAGCAGCCCAGTCACCACCTGTCAAGAGGTGACAGGAAGCAACTGGGCATGATCTTAAACACCAATCTGTCGAGGAGACAGTAGATTGGGGTCCAGGACCAAGCACCCCAAAAAGGGGTGAGACCGGCCACCAGCTGTGTGAATTTACTCCTGAGTAATGAGCAGGGGGTCCAAAGCCTTGGTTTGGTTTTGTCACTAATTACTAATTTGGTTTATTCAATAGGTGAGGTTCACTGTCCCATTTTTTTTCCCCAATGGAAGCCCCCTGGCCAAGACAGACCTGGATGTCAATTTGATTTCAGTTGGGGAGAATAGGTAGGGGGAGTTGAGGGCTGACTTGACTGGTGCCTAGAGTTGCAGGTCAGTATCACAGGTTGCTAACAGAAGAATCTTTTGACATCACCAGGGGCAAAAGAGATAGAACACTACCTGCTAGAGGAGAGCACCTGCTAAAAGAAACCTCCTCCTTTTCCTGCCTCAGCACCTAGCAACTTCTGGGATTGACAGTCTACCTGCAATCAGGGCAACAGAGGTAAATAGCTGCACGGGCTGACTCCACAAAGTCCTGAACCCTGGGAGAAGAGTGCTGGGAGCCCCCTGGCGTGTGTGTGTGTGTGTGAGTGCATTCATTATGCATCAGTACAGAAATATGCTCCTGTGTATGCGTGTGAGATTGACTGATTGGTGTGGGGTTTAGGTCTGCAGTGGGGACCGAGGCTCAGCACACTAAGCCTGCTTCCCCCACTCCCCACCCCATAATATTTCTTAAACATGACCCTATCTATGTATTTATAGAGCGCCTATCACTGTAGGCCCCATCTTTCTAGGGACGTGGACTTGGGGCCATGTGCTTGCCGACACACCTCCCAGCTCTACCAGTCCCAGGAGGTGCCATCCCCCCTCCCATTATAAAATATATATCTCTATATGCCACATATCTACACCCCATCTACCCAGGCAAGCACCTGCCCGTCGGGCCCTCACCCTGGAGCCAACAATGCCATCCCTTCCTACTACTGACGCCAGGCCGCCTGCCTTGTAGGAAGTAGAACAAAGTGTTGAGCACTTGGGGCTCCAGGTGCTGCTGACTCGAGGTAAGAGCACAGCTATCATCAGACCAAGTACTAGAAAAGAAATACACACCACTCCAATCACACACACAAGGAGAGAGACGGCCGGTCCTCCCTCCAGCCCTGACACACCCGACTCAAGAGGAGGGGAAGTAGAAGAGAAGAGTGACAAGCCCAGAAGGCAGACCTTGGGGACTCCCTGGCCGCCCAGCTGTCACCATGCCCAGTGGCCCACCTGGCCCGAGGGGTGGGAGCCAGGGCACCAGAGCCACCGCTAACTCAGAAGCACCCTGCTCCCGCACCTTGGTTTGAAACCTAAAGGGAAGGGTGTTGGGTTTTTGTTTTCTTAAAGAAAATCTTAAAACAAACATAATTATAACCAGAACCATAAGAATAATTATAATAAAAGGTGTCATCAGCCTCCCAGTATAAAACTGCAGCCTTTGGAGATGACCAAAAACATCACATTCCAGGGGCCGGGAGCCGCCTTGTGCACAGAGGGGTGGATGGTGGGGGCCTCATAAAAGAACACACAAAAGGCGACTTAGACAGGAAAGCACCAGTACGTTTTGTATGTTTTTTTATTTGCTCCAGGTGGGGTTTTGACTGTCACTTTCCCACACTCTGGATTAGTTCTGATCCCACCACAAGGAGCCCTCGAATTGGCTAAAGTGAGAAACTGGGCCTGAAGACTCCGTACCCTCTGCCATCTTGCCGAGGGAGTCTCCTTTTAGAAAACAATCAAAGGGTTATTGCATGAGTCTGGATGAATCCCACTCTCAGCTGTCCACGGGCCCGACCACCTCATCTAGCCCCCTTTTTGGCAGGGAGAACCTGGCTCCCAAGTTCTCCTCCTTCACTTCGTTACAAACCAAGGGGAAGAGCCCACCGTGAGAACGCGCCATCTGCAAGCTGTCTCCCTTTCTCCATCCTTGGTGAAACCCTTTGCGCAGAAGGCAACGTGGAAGCTGATGTTTTTACTCATCTCGCTGTTTGAAAGCACCATTATGAAGTCGGGTTGTACAGTAGTTAACAGTACCTTTTATATATATATCTCATATCTATCATATATATATAAACTGTAAACAAGAGGTAACAGCGGCTTCTAGAAACTGATTTTCTTCAAGGTTTCCTGTGTGGTAGGCACCTGAAATACTGTAGAAAAATGTCTTGTGTGGTGTTCTCGTCTCCCTGCTGCTAACTGGGTTCTGTTTTGCGTGACCAGGAATGGTGCTGGCACGACAGCTCAGTGGCTGGGAGGGAATGCTGCCGCCTGAGTGTCTCTCTCTTTCCGTCCCCTGCTTGTGCTCCTATCTGATCAGGCTAGAGACAACAAAAAAAAGATATATAGTAAAAAAAAAAACCCAAAAAAAAAAAACAAAAAACAAAAAAAAAAACAACCCAATATATAGATTTCTATAGAATTTCCTTTTTTCCTCTCTCCCACCTTTCCTCTGCAAGGTATTGTTACTATTTTTTGTTACTGATTTTTGCTGCAATAACCTTCTTGTTTCAGTCACAGCAAGAAACAAAACCCAAACAAACAGAAAACCCCTCTGAAAAGAGTAGAAAATAAAAGGTCTGACCGAAAAAAAAGGGAAGGGGGAGGAAGGGAAGGGAGCTTGGTTTTGTTTTTAAATAGGACTGAAGAATAACATTGAAAAATCAGGAGATGATGTCCAACCCTTTTCGCAAGGCAAAGCCCTCCGGTATTTCCGCCTCTGTGGTTTTTGTTTTAAATTCCTTTTTCTCTTCTGGGTGCTGATACTTCTCTCCATCCTCATGTTCTTGGTGTTTTATTATGTTTTGTGTTTTTTGTTTGTTTGTTTAACTTTGTGTCGCTACCTCAGTTTGCCCCCATGTCCCTTACACACACGCAAAATACTCCTTCAGCGGAGCGAAGAGGTGGCGGATGACTGGCACGCTCCATGACCGGCCCAGCAGTCTCTGCCTCGCCAAGCGGCTCATGTTGGAGACGTCAGTATAGTGGACTGGGAAACCAAATACCCTGGGGGAGAAAAGGCAGAGAGGGCAGGGTGAGTGCTGGCCAGACCAGGCTGCCCGGAAGCCGTCTAACCACACAGCAGGACCCGGAGGACCAGCAGCCACCCGAAGTGCAGGGACAGGGGCACTCACACCCACCAACTCCTCTGACGCCTGCTTAGTTCTGCCGAATCTTCTGTCCTTTATAAACAACCCGGCACTCAGATCACCAACCATGTGCCAGGCACTGTGCTGGTTTCTGTGACCTTAAAGGTAGTAAGGTCATCACTGCCTAGAGTTTCACAACCCAGCAGAAATAAGAGTAATTTTGAACAATCCCTCAGAAATACCTCCAGGACACACTCTCTAGTTCTCCTCTCCTGCAGGGTTAGCTCGGCAACGTACACCTGGAGTCTGCATGTAACGAACACGTAGCCCTAGCATCCTCCCCATCAAGAGCAGGGAAGGCGAAAAAGGAGCCGAACTCCTGCCTGACTTCAGAAGCTGAAGGATTTCCTGTTTGCTCTGGTTGTTTGTGTAAATGGTCTCTTTGTCTGGCTAAATCCTAGTTACACTCAGAGAACAAGAAGGTCATCCAGCCCCGAAAGTCCCATTTGCATCAAATCAGGGTGTTGAGGCTGCGAGGTCTGCCTGGCCCTATGCTGGCTTGGTTTACAAAAGACCTATAAAATTGGCACCACAAGTTAAGGTCCTGTCACTGCAGTGGTTCCCTGGGGGATCAGCAGGGTCTCTGGGAGACAAGGCAGCAGGGGATTTCCTAGACTCCTCTTTTTTTTTTTTTTCCCTTTGAGATGGAATCTCTCTGTTGCACAGGCTGGAGCACAGTGGCGCAATCTCGGCTCACTGCAACCTCCACCTCCCAGGTTCAAGCGATTCTCCTGTCTCAGCCTCCTGAGTAGCTGGGACTACAGGCACCCGCCACCACACCCAGCTAATTTTTGTATTTTTAGTAGAGACGGGGTTTCGCCATGTTGGCCAGGCTGGTCTCGAACTCCTGACCTCAGGTGATCCACCCGCCTCGGCCTCCCAAAGTGCTGGGATTATAGGCATGAGCCACTGCTCCTGGCCCCTAGACTCCTCTTACTTGGGACCAGCCTTAAAATACCCAGGAGCCTGGGGTGTCAGGAGTCCACCCCAGGAGTCTGCCATGTTGGGAAATGCTTGATAAAACCCACTGTTCCCAGGACGTTTGTGGAAAACAAGTCAGGTGGGAAAGGCAGAGGACCCCCGCAGCAAGCACAGCAATCAGAACAGCCACACCGCAGCCAGATGCCAGCACAACCCGGGTACCTTTCCATTTCAGTGCACCATAAGATGTCCTCTTTCTCATTCATGAAGACAGGAAAATGCTGGTCTTTGCCCTGCTTTATGGAGTTTGACCTCGTAGTAATGGTCCTCACTTTGCTGAACTAGATGAAGAGGAGAAAAGAGGAATAAGCACGAATTCATTCACCAGCCAACACTGGTCATGCGTCTACCAAATATGCCAGGTACTCGCCAAACCCTGACAGGGCCTGGTCCACCCAGGGGGCTGGGTATGGCTCTGAGTGAGCAGAGTTCGCAGGGCAGGAGCCTCCACAGACCCCACAGCCTCACTTTTCTTCCTACTTGGAGGTCACCTGGCCAATCTTAGATCCATCTAGCCACAGACTTTTTTTTTTTTTTTTGAGACGGAGTCTCGCTCTGTCACCCAGGCTGGACTGCAGTGGTGCGATCTCAGCTCACTGTAACCTCCACCTCCCGGGTTCAAGCGATTCTAATGCCTCAGACTCCTGAGTAGCTGGGACTACAGGCGCCCGCCACCATGCCTGGCTAATTTTTATATTTTTAGTCAGACAGGGTTTCACCGTGTCGGCCAGGCTGGTCTCAAACTCCTGACCTCAGGTGATCCGCCTGCCTCGGCCTCCCAAAGTATTGGGATTATAGGCGTGAGCCACCGCACCCGGCCTAGCCACAGACTTTAGAAGTAGAAGCTGTAGCCACTGTACTTTCCAAGTCTTCCAAAGAATTAGTTCTTTCAGAGATGGAGTAACTTGTAGGCTAAAGGATGCCAAGTTACTGAGGGGCTCAAAGATGCCCTCGGAGCTGCCAGTGGTTCTGAATGCTGGAACCTGCTGACACAGAACCCAGTGCCCCAGGTAGTCACTCCGGGAGATTCCAGCTCCAGAGAGAAATGGAGCTTCCACATCACAGGAGGCTGCTTTGAGGGCTTTTGTAATAGGTTTTGGCCAAAAAATTTAAAAATGAAAAAAAAGCCACAGCACAACCAGGTCTTGGTAAAGACTCCTCAGTGTCTACCGGGGGTGATGGGCGACACTCACCAGGGAGGAAGGGCTGAAGGCCAGCAGCCCTGGGCCCTCCTCTGGCTGCCCTGCTGCATGACCCTGCACCGTCTCCTAAATTGCATTCTCCACACTAGCTGGAGAAGCAGGCGGGACAAGGCCCTGGCCACCGCTCCACCTCATCCTGCCCTTCCTTCTCCCTGCCCCCCAGCAGAGGTTCTAGACGCTGGAGCTGACCTTGGCTATCCTGCCATGCTCCAGACACTCCTGCAGCTCCAGCTTATCATTCACAGTGGATGCCAACGGCCTAGGAGGCAGAAGAGAGACTGT